>NC_000020.11:672395-823910 GCF_000001405.40 Homo sapiens
TGTGTGTGTGTGTGTGTGTGTGTGTGTGCGCGCGTGCGTGTGTGTGTATGGAGGAGGAGCAGGAGTCCTCCAGGAATTCTCCAGCATTCTCAGGCATTCCCAGAGCTGGGGTACACCTCTTTAATTTGGGGTTCTGCATCTTTATCAGCTAGGAGCTTGTGGTTTCTCTGACCTCCACATTCACAGGCTCCCCCAACCCCTGCTCCCCCGACCCAGGTTTCCCTCCCGCCAGCCTCATCCTGACCCTGCAGCCCGAGCTGCAGGAATGGCTTGTAAGAAGATCTTTCTAATAACTGGAACTATCTCCAGCCCCAGGCCTCCCCCGCCCTCCCTCCCTCCCTCTCTCCTTCCCTCCCTCCCTTGCTTCTCCTCCCTCCCTCTCCTCATCTTCCCCCCCTCCTCTCTTTCTCCTTGTTTACCCAGCACACTTACACACGCTGAGAGAGAAAAACGTCGGCTCAGCAATTTTTCACACTTCCCTCAAATGCTCAGCAAGGTTATTTCCGGCAGAGCGGAGACAACGGGCCACCAGGAGCCGGCGGGCTCTCAGCAGACCCCCAGCACCCTCCACCCGCCCAGGGAATAAGGGATCCCTCACTGCCCAGTCTGGCCGCACCCCAGGGAGGGAAGAGGCCCCTGAAAACAAGACAAGGCAGACTTTGTATTTCCCAGTCATACCTAGGCTTGGTCTCTGGCACTGACCGTCCACTGCAGACACTGCCAAGGTGGCCAGGCCAGGGTGCCTGTCCTCACTATGGGGTAGCCTACAGAGACCAAAGCCAAGAAAAGTGCCCGATCCCAGAAATGCCGCTACCCTCAGCCAGGTGGCGTATGTTCAGTGGAGCCCTAAGGAAACCCTGACAGTGGCCTCCCAGCATCCTGTTAGACCCCTGTGCAGGCATCTCCAGTGCCTGACATTCCATAGTTGACCTTCACAGAAGCTGAGCTTGTCAAAGTTGGAAGGATGCTTAGTTTATGCCATCAAAACTCTTTCACTGCTGGGGAGGCTGAGGACCAGAGAAGGGAAGGCACTTGCCCAAGGTCACACAGCATGTGAGAGATCTAGAGCCCAGGCCTCCAAATTTCAGGCCAGGTTTCTGGCTATCAGCACAGCCTCAGGATTCCTGAGAGGTGAGGGAGTTGGTCTGGAGACCCATGGGGAAGGGGACAAAGACAGAGGTGGTTCTAGGGTGTTAAACCCGGTGGAACCTCTGCAGAAACACCCTGCTGGTGGCTCTGCACCCGCCCTGCTTCCCACTATTCACTCAGGGGCTCCTTTCAAAGCTTTTTTTTGGACTGAATTCAAGGCAAGGCATTCTCTTGCCTCCCTCCTGAGGAACAGCCTGCAGTTTTGGCTGTGCATGGGAAATTCTCTGGGCTTCTCTGGGTTTCCTCAGCTGGCCTGGGGACAGGACCAACGGGGCTTCAGGGGGTGGAATCCCAGAGCTTTGTGTCAGTGTCAGTCCCTTAAGAGATCCATATCCCAAGCTTGCAGATATTTCAGTTTCTACCAGCTTTGAGCGCACACTCTCCAGCTTTGGCATGGCCCCAGGTCCACCCTCTGTCCTGCCAGCCCTCAGCCCTGCTCAGCCATGTCCCTGGGCTTCTGACCTCCACCTCAAGAGGCCCTGTGATCAAGAAAAGAGGACAGTAGAATAAGGGACATGTGGGCAGAGGAGAAGGGGTTTCTGTTAAGGGTCTGGGGGATGCCAGTGGATGAGGGGCTGTAGCTGTATCCCTGATCACTCTGTAACTTCTTTGACCTTGATGAGGTCACAAAGCCCTTTGCCCAGCACTCTCTCTCTCTCTACCTGGTGTGGCAGAGTGATGGAATGTGGGTGAAGTGCTTGGAAATCCCAGAGGTGGAAGCCCCCATCCTCCCAGGCTCCTGTCTTTGCCATCTCAGTTCCCCCCTCATCCTCAGTCCTTTCTTTTCTCCTCTCTCAATCTCCCTCTTTCTCTCTCTCTCTTTCCCCACCCCCATCTCTCTCTCTCTCTCTCTCTCACACACACACACACACACACACACACACACACACACACACAACCCAAAGCTGCCACATGTGATGTCAGATCTCTCACTACCAAAGGGACACCTCCTCTTCAGACACCTGCCCTGGTGGGGGCCATCAGGGGAGAACCCCTTTGTGATCCCCTTGGTGGAGGATGGGATCCACAGAAGCAGTCTCCACTTTCCCCTGCCTTCCAGAGATCACCCCCTTCTGCACCTGAATGACTTCTCTTGTTCCTCAAACCCTTGTCCCTGCAGGAACTTGTTCTGAGAAGAGATGGAGTGTGTGTGTGTGTGTGTGTGTGTGTGTGTGTGTGTGTGTGTGTATGTGTAGTGAGGAGGGGGCTTACGAGGAGCAGCAGGGTTGGTTCTGGAGGGGGTTGAGAAGCTGGGGATGGGGAAGGAGTGCAATCCAGGGGACCAGGAGCCACTTTGGGGGAACCCCTCCCAGAAATCCTCTCTTTCTTGCAGTCCCCAGGACAGGCCCAGCCTTTGGCAGGCATGTGGCTGAGGGTAACAAAAGAGTTATTGAGAGAGGGGGTCTGAGAGCACTTGTGTGACATCGGCAGGGGAGCAGGTTTGAAGGGAGGGAGGGCGCCCCCAGCCACCCCCAGGGAACCAACCCTGTCTCTCCAGGGACTGAACATCCAGGGCTCTTTACCTTCCCCCTTCCCGGGCAGCCAGCTTCTCTTCCTCAACGGGGGAGAGGGAACCCTCAAAGTGCCTTGTGCCTCAGTGCCCAGCGCTGGCCTTTCACGAGCAGCCCCGTCTGTGTTCTCTTGCCACCCCCTCACTCTAGCCCTATTTGAGGGCCACAACTTTCAAAGTCCCGGCTGGCGCGTGGCTGCGGGATGGGCCGACCCCGCGACTTTCCCTTTGTACGACCTAGCCCCTGCCCCGCCCGCACGGCCCTTGGAAAGCCCGGGAGGAGCCCACGGCCAGAGAGATCTCCTCCCGGGGGTTTCCTGTCGCACGCGCCCCTCCTCGTGGCCCAAGCTGGGGAGGGCCCCAGCTCCCCTCGCCTCTTCTCCCAACCCCCCGCCCCCGCCGGGTCCCACTCACCGTTGTCCCCGGGAGGCCCCCGGGCGCCAGGCAGCACGTAGGCTGTCTCCAAGGGGTGGTAGGTGGGGGCCGGCACCCCGCTGCACTGGAAGCCGTCCCCTTTGATCTTCTTTACCAGGAAGGAGCGCGGCATGGCGCGGCCGGCGCGGGGCTCGGTGCGGGGAGGCGGCCGGCCGGGCGCGATCGGCTGTGTCCGCGCGGGTTTTCAGCACTGGACAGCTCCCAGCGGGCTGGAGCGCGGGAGGCCGCTCGGAGCCGGCACCGGTGGCGGCGGCCCCGGCTCGGGCTCGGGCTTGGCGGCGGCGGCGCGCAGACAGGGGATCGCGGGAGCTGCGCTCAGCACTCCGGCTGCCGGCTTTATATGGGACGCAGGCTGGAGATCAGGTGGTCCCCTAGCAATGGAACCGCTCGGCGCTCTAATCCATCAAATGTCCCCCAGGACAATCGCTCCGCACACGTTCCCCTGAACCGGCGGCGGTGGGGGCAGGCCCGGAGCAGGCAGGAGGGGAGAAAGTGAGGGCGAGAAAGGCGCAGAGACAGAGAGGGACGGAGAAAGGGGAGTGAGGGGGGCGGGGAGAAGAAGAGAGACTCGGAGAAAGACAGAGACATACAGGGAAAGAGAGACGCACACGCTGAGAGAGGTAGAAATAGAAGCAGAGAGACCAAGATAAGGACAAAAAGACACAAGAGAGAAACAGAGAGAGAAGAAAGACAGAGATGGAGAGAAGTAGCAACACACACACACCCACGGGAGGAAAAGAGAAATCCAGGCACACAAAAAGGAAACCCCCCCAGGGATGCAAAGAAAGGGAAAGAAAAGTGCAAAAGAGAGGGGGAAGCCGAGGGGAACGGAGGGAAAGCGGTCCCGAGCAGGCGGGGTTCAGGCACATGGGGCCGCAGGGAAGGGGATGCAGAGGAAAGAGTGCGCACTGGCCAGCGGCCACCCTCCCGCCTCCAGTCCTCTCCCTCTCCCCCAGTTCTGAAGTGGCCAGGGTGGACGCTCAGCTTTCACTAGAGTAAGTCTCCCCTCCCCCCTGCTCGGGCTCCCACTGGAGCCCCCTGTTGGGTTTGGGGTTCAACTTTCTTCTTCCAGAACTGGTGGGGGGAGCAAGTCCCCCACGCCGATGCCTGGCCTTGCTCGGTTGGTCCTGTTCCGGTGCCTAGCTCAGGCGGGCGCTGCAAGAGGAAGTGAAAATCGTCCAGTAATTAATTTTCCTGCTGCCGGGGGGTGGTGGTTTTGACACATCCGAGGCAGTGTCTTTCCCTGAAGCGGGGAGCAGACAATAGAGACACGTGGACTGGGAAGGGAGAGGGGGGAAGGGAGGGGGAGCGGGGCTCCTGCTGGAACTCTTTGCAGGTCAGCTCCTTTGTCTCTAAAAGGATCTGAGCAGACCCGCCACCCCCAGTCCGACCCAAACCTGGGGGAGCCCCCATATCTTGGCAGGACCAAGGAGCAGGAGAGCTCAGCCCCCTGCCCAGAGGGTGCTGGGCAAAGCCCCATGGTGGCGGACCTGCTTTAGCAAGTGTGGGATGGCCAGTGCACAAGAGTCCCAGAATCAGACTCTAGGAATTCCAGGCTCTCGCTGTCAATGGAATTCTGGTTATGAGATGCAAGGCTGGTGGAGTGGGGATGTCCTTTTGGGACTGGGTCATCCAATACCAGTTTGCAGGCTAAGACCTAGAGAGGGCTTGGAGGTGCTTGAGGTCATGCAGTGAGTCAGCAGCAATTGCCAGAGACCTCAGTGGCCTCTGGGCACCACTGAATCAGGGCCTATCATGGTCCTTGAGGTGTAGCCCAGAAGTCTCAGAATAAAACTGGGGCCCCTCGTGGTGGTTCAAGCCTGTAATCCCAGCATTTTGGGAGGCTGAGGCAGGAGGATCACTTGAGGTCAGGAGTTTGAGACCAGCCTGGGCAACATAGTGAGACCTTGTCTCTACAAATAGTTAAAAAAAAAAAAAAAATTAGCCAGGTGTGGTGGTGCACACATGTGGCCTTAGCTACTTGGGAGGATGTGGTGGGAGGATCGCTTGGGCCTGGGAGTTCGAGGCTGCAGTGAGCTGTAATGGCACCACTGCGCTCCAGCCTGGATGAAAGAGCGAGACCCTATCTCCAAAATAATAATAATAATAATAATAAGTTAGAGTTTCCAATGCAGGATCTGTTGGCCTTGAATATTTTCAAAAGACATAAAGATGCAAGGATGTGGAAGCAGAAGGTTTGCCATTGAATTTGCCCTGTATGGTTTTAGATTGTTTTCCCTGACCGAAATAAGGAATTAAGGCAGTTTACTCCCTATATATAAACATTGAAAAACATTGCAGGTCCAAAACAATGGGGGCCCCTGATCTTGCCAAGGCCCTGCATGGTCTAGAGGTCCCCCACCATCTTTCCTGTTGCATTGCCTCATATCTTGCCCATGGGAATTTTTTTTTTTTTTGAGATGGAGTTTCGCTCTCGTTGTCCAGGCTGGAGTGCAATGGCGCGATCACAGCCCACTGCAACCTCCGCCTCCCAGGTTCAAGTGATTCTCCTGTCTCAGCCTCCTGAATAGCTGGGATTACAGGGTGCGCCACCATGCCTGGCTAATTTTTTGTCTTTTTATCAGAGACGGGGTTTCACCATGTTGCCCATGGGACTTTTTTAAACCTCTGTCACTGAGAGTTGAAGTGACCACACCCTTGACTCATGGCACGCCCATGCATTCTCTGCTCCAGCCATAGGTGCCTACTGGTGCTTTGGGCTTGCAGCTCTCTTGACCTGTATACCATTTCCACTGCCCAGAGTCCTTCCCTGCACTTCACCCTAGGAAACCCCTACTTGTTCTCAAGACTCAGCCGAGGGGTCACTTCCTCCAGGAGGTGTCCCTGACTTCCATCATTGCAGACTGGGCCAACTCACCCACTGGTCCCTGAGCTTCATGAGGACAAAGACTCTGTCCCATGTATGGCTTAACACACTCTTAACAGTGTGCATGAGGGTCTTCTAGCTCCCCTACTTATTAGCCATAGGTCCTTGGACAAGTTACTCAACCGCTCTGTGCCTCAATTTCCCCACTTATAAAATGGGAATAATAATTGTCACTACCTAAGTGTTGTTGGGAGTGTTAGAAGAGTTACTACATATAAAGGGCTTGGAATGGTGACTGGCATATGGTAGGAGTTCAATGCTTGAGGGTTCTATATATGCAGTTTTGCCTGTAGCATGCAGCGCTCATTTGTTACATGTTAGTGGGATTCTGTGGAATGAGTGGTGAACTAGGCATCTCTGGTCCCTGCTTTCTTGCAGCTGATCTTGCAGCTGTCCATTCATTGAGTGGATGGACACCAAGCAAGAAAATCCTTAAATCAACAATATATTTTCAGATAGTTGACCAGTGCTGTGAGGAACATAAAACAGGGTGAGATGATGGAGAGTGATGGTGCCTTTAGGCAGGGTGACCAGCAAGGGTCTCCTGGGAGAGGTGGCATGTGCACCTAGACTTGAGCCAGCCATGGAAGGAGCCCAGGAAAGAGTGCTCCAGCCAGAGGCTTCACAAGTTCAAAGGCTCTGAGGCAGGAATGAGCTTGAGCAGCTGAGGACAGCAAGAAGGGAAGGAAGATGAGTTCAACATGTTAGCAGGGCCAGACCCAGAGATTACTCCATAAATCCCAAATGAATGAGTGAATGAAAGAATGAATGATTGTAGGGGTGAGATTCAGCCTATAACTATAGCTTACAACTGTGACTAAGTAGACCTATTGGTTGGAGAATAACTTTTCACTGTTTACATAGAGGAAGTTGCTTATTTGTTCAGTCATTGACAATTGTGGTATAGCCATATTTTTTAGTTTGTGCTGGGTACTTGGATCTCTGTCCTCTAGGGGTGCCTAGTTCACTGTGGGTAAATAAGGCAAGTGGGTGTCATCTAGCTCACCTCCACCTGCCTGATGGTTCTACCTCTCCAACCTCACATCTAAGAGATGGCAAAACGGATCCCAGAGTCCTTAAAAAGGAATATAGGTCACAGCAACTTTTGACAGAGCTGGGACTGGACTGTTCTCACTGGGCAAGATAGTGATCCACCCCTTAACTGATCAAAGGAAGCCCCACAGAAATGGTGTATTAATAGGTCCTGCAGCCCACTAGTGTCGGGTTGAGGATAGAACCCCAGGTCTCTGACCACAGGTTGGAAGGTGGTGTGGGTGCATTTAGCATATGAGAAGAAGCCTTGAGCCCTGAAGATGAGGTTCCAAAATACCTTCAGAGGGGAGGAGGCCTTAAGTATGGATGAAATACACAATGGCCAGCAGAATTTCATCACTAGGACACCAGGAAGGGCCTTCTGTCCCCCAAACCTCCCCCCACCCCAGCTTACTGGTTTCAGGAAGTTCACTGTGGGGAATTAATTTCTCTAAGTCACATGAAATAAGGAAATAACTTTTATTCCCAAGGATGTTCGCTGCAGCATCAGAGATGGTAATAAAAACCCTGGGTTGGAGAAAGCAAGGAGAGGGTTGTGAAGAAGACGTTCACTCCATGTAGTATTCTGCAGCCATTAAAAATTCTCATTTGGGGAGAAAAGCTCATAAAATGTGTTAAGTGAGGGGTGCAGAATACAGAAACCTCTCACAGCACGTTCACAACCATGAACCAAAACAAAAATAAACACACACAAAAGAGTGAAATAAGGGTCTGGAACTATGGGGTTTCCCTCTCCCTTCTTTTTGTGTTTTCCAAAAAGATCATAAAATATTTCAGTTCAGCCAGGTGCAGTGGCTCACGCCTGTAATCCCAGTACTTTGGGAGGCTGAGGCGGGTGGATCACGAGGTCAAGAGATTGAGACCATCCTGGCCAACATTGTGAAACCCCATCTCTACTAAAAATACAAAAATTAGTTGGGCATGGTGGCGCGCGACTGTAGTGTCAGCTACTAGGGAGGCTGAGGCAGGAGAATCTCTTGAACCCAGGAGGTGGAAGTTGCAGTGAGCTGAGATCGCGCCACTGCACTCCAGCCTTGTGACAGAGCAAGACTCCATCTCAGGAAAAAAAAAATAGTTCAACAAATATTTATCTTGAGCACTTGCTAACTGTCACTTACTTCCAAATAGAAGAAATGCTGAAGTTTAGTAAACCATGTCAGGATATTCACTATTCATTCTTCTGACTTTTGGGAAGTTGGCATTGTGAATTTCCCCAGTGGCAATAATAATTATTAGTACATCGCCAGCAACATTACAGAGCCACCCCACAGGCCTGGCAGTGTGCTAAGCACTTTCCCTTTGAAGAAGGTGACCTTGCCTGGGGCTTTAGATTGAGGGATTTGGAGTCAGCCTATTTTCAGTTTAAATTCCTGCTCTGCCATTTCCCGACTGTGTAATTCTCTGTGCCTCCATTTTCTCATCTGTAAAATGGGTGTATAAATTGGGCCTGTCTCACAAGGTTGCAGTGAGGATTAAATGATAATATAGGCATCAAGTGCTTAGAGCAGTGCCTGGCACACAATAACTTGATAAATGTTGACAGTTGCTATTTACATATCCTCACTTATCTAAGCCTTACCATGGCCTCATGGGAGAAGGTGCTGTTATTGAAATGACTGGTTCATGGCTACATAGTCACTGTACAGAGGAGCTAAAGAGTGTCCCATGTCTTCATGGCCTACTGCCTTCCTGCCCAGGAGCCCCAGGTCTTGGCATAATAGGTCTAGCTGGCTGCAGGCTTAGCCCTCTCTGGCCTACCTCGTCTGCTCTGGCATCTTCCATATTTCAACTGTGCCCTGCCCATCAGGAAGAAGGGCAGTTCCCAGGGTCTAGGTGTGAGTCTCAGGGCTGTGTGACCCTAGGTGGCTGGCAGAGCCACCCTGGGCCTCACCCTGCACATCCATAAAGAGGGGTTGGGGCATCCTATGATTCACTGGCTTCACTCTATGGGGTCAGGAAGGAGCACTGACCTGGGAGTCAGGAGCCCAGTTCCAGCCCTGCTTCTGCTCCCTTTGCCCTCCCCTTTGGGCCCCAGCTTTCTTGTCTGTCAAATGGGAATGGGACAAGATGGTCCCTGAGCTGCTGTCCAGACCCGGTAATGGAATTCTGTATGAATTCCAAGGAGGAGAGTAGCCACAAATGCATCCGCTCCACGCTGATGGGGCTCTCTCTCCGGTAAGCTTCACTTACTCTGCCATTTCTCCAGTGTATTTTATCAGACCCACCTCCTCTGAGCCAAAGAAAAGAGGGTAGGAGCAGGATGAAACAAACTCACAGCTCTGTTCATTCAGGCTCATCACAGAGATGACTTGCCCAAGGGCATGTGGCAGGTCCTCTGAAATTTGAGGAAGGCTGTGTTTTCTTTTGTGTCACTTTGGTCCTCCGGGAAGCAGATGTGAAAATGGAGGTGTAAGTGTAAGAGATTTATTGAGAAAACACCGTGAGAAATGGAGGAGAGCCTTCAGAGAGGGATGCAGGTCTGATACTGTGAAAGGAGAGGTGGAATAAAGAAAGATTGGGGAAGAGGAGCCTCAGGCCATGGTGCAGGTCTAAGGAAGTCCTAGCCAACCCAACAGGGAGCTCCTGTGCAAAGATTTCCTGTAGAGGAGTCCCGTGCTCGACAGAAGGGCAGACCCTAGTTTCCCACCATGCTCAGTCATCAGCCGGCCTGTCCTGGAAGAGTGGCTGTGCTGACAACTATGGCAGATTGCAAAGGTGTTGCAGCTGGAGGCTCTCAGTGACTGTAGTCCAGAGAAGATCTGAGTGGCACCTCCCTAAGGCTGCCACATGTTTTTCTTTATTCATTTAATAGACACTTACAGAACTCTGGGCCATGTGCCAGTTACTGATCTATGCACTTTACAAATATTACCTTAGTTAATCCTTACCCTCGCCTTTTGAGACAGATGGTATTTTTAGCCCCATTTTATAGAGGGAGAAACTGAGCACAAAGAGGTTAAGTAAGTTGCCCAAGGTTTCACAGCCAGTAGGTGATAAGCCACAAATCCAACCCAGGCAAGCTGCTTGGAGGCTCTGCTCTGACCACTCCACCACACTGCCTCCTCTCCAGCTGCAAATGCCTTGGTGGCAATTTCTGGGACCATTTCCATTTTCATTTTTCATTGGCTCAGGACCTCACAGCCTTAACAGGAAGGGGCCTACTGTGGTGGCTGGGGGCATAGCAGGGTCCCAGCTCCCCCTGAAGCTTCTACCTTGCTCCCTCAAAGACTTCCACCTCAAAGCCTTTGCATATATTGTTCCCACTGCCCAGAGCACTCTTCCACCCCCTTCCTTGCCTAGGTAACCCCTCCTCCCATCGCTCCCTTGCCTGACCCCAGGATCTAGCCCAGGATAGGGGTGATATGTAGTGGAAAGGAGCTAGTTGACATTTATTGAGCACTTATTATGTGCTAGGAGCCAAGTCCAGCCCTTTACATAGATTGCCTCACTTAACCATCATAACAACCTGTGAGTGTGGCCCATGGCTATCCCCATTTTACAGATGAGGAAACCAAGGCTCACAGATGCAAGGTGACTTGCCCAAGGAGACCCAGCTAGGAATCAGTGGTGTCAGTATTTAAACCAGGCTGCCTGGCTACAAAGTCCTGATCTTAAACCATGAGTCCTTCCCTCTAAGAGGGCAAAAGATACCAATGCTAGGGTGGGTAGGTGAGGGCCCTCCAAAGAATGTCCCTCCCCTTCCCCCTGCCAGGGCTGACAGCTCCTTGAGTGGGATTCCGGATCTGCTCCATTCATTGCCGCACCTCCATCGTCTACCCAGAGCCGGGTAAATAGTAAGTGCTCAGTAAATACATCAATTGAATGAATAAACTAATGAGTGAAAAACCTTCTTGCGACCCGCAGTCACCTTGGTCCCCTTTGACCAGAGCCAGGTTGACGTGTCAACCGTCAAGATATCCCTCTGTTTTGGGTGATAATTAGATTTCTATCTTGACTGTTACAGACATTGGTATTCCTCCATTAAAATGTCTTTCTTTCAGGCCAGGTCCGGTGGCTCACGCCTGTAATCCCAACACTCTGGGGGGCCGAGGCGGGTGGATCACCTGAGTTCAGGAGTTCGAGACCAGACTGGCCAACATGGTGAAACCCTGTCTCTACTAAAAATACAAAAATCAGCTGGGCATGATGGGGCGTGCCTGTGATCCCAGCTACTCAGGAGGCTGAGGCATGAGAATCGCTTGAACCTGGGAGGAGGAGGTTGCAGTGAGCCAAGACTGCGCCACTGCACTCCAGCCTAGGTGATGGAGTGAGACTCTGTCTTAAAAAAAAAAAAAAAAGAAAGAAAGAAAAGAAAAAAAGTCTTTCTTTCAAAGTTGGAGACATCCCTAAACATTCTAACTCCTGTCCCTGACAAGGTCCCATCTTAAGCAGGTCTCTGAAACCTCTGGAAGAAGGAATTGGCTATCAGGAGTCTGATCACCAGGCTGCCTGCGGGGTCAGGGTATTTGGGGTGGGCCTCTGGCATGGTTTAGCGGTGGGCTGGCCAAAAGCCCCTAGACAAGAGCCCACCATTCAAGCAAGTGGGATAACTCAGCGTTTGGGCCTGGGTCACCCTGAGCCAAGTTTTATTTTTTATTTTTATTTTGTAGAGGTAGGGTCTTGCTCTCATCCAGGCTGTAGTGCAGTGTTGTGATCATGGCTTATGGCAGCCTTGAACTCCTGGGGTCAAGTGATCCTCCTCCCTCAGCCTCCTGAGCAGCTGGGACTACAGGTGCATGCCACCATGCCCTGGCTAATTTTTAAACTCTTTGTAGAGATGGGATTTTGCTATACTTCCCAGACTGGTCTCAAACTCTTGGCCTCAAGTGATCCTCACGCCTCGGCCTCCTAAAGTGCTGGGATTATAGATGTGAGCCACTGTACCTGGCTGAGCCAAATTTTAATCCTGGCTCTGCCTCTTCAAGCTGGTTGGCCCTGGGCAAGTTACTTTGCCTCTTTGCAGCTCTATTTCATCTCTGTAAACAGAGGCCAGTGGGAGCACCTGCTAAGTAGGGCTGTAGGGGGCTTCATGTATAGTCAGCCCTTGGTAAGTGGGAGCTCTACTTGAAGGGCCTTTGAGATAACAGCATTGTCTCCTCCCCACCCCCATTTGACAGTTGTGGAACCTGAGGCATGGGACAGGGAAATGCTTTCCCTGGAACATTCAGGCTCCCTGCCAAGTCAGGATGGGCTTCCTCACTCCAAGGTGGCCTCTCTTGCCTCCCTCTCTTCCCCACCAGCCGAGCTCAGAACCATGCCTGGGAGATGCTGAGGTGGCAATGGAGCTGCAGAGTTGGCATTTCCAGGCTCCCAGGACTCCTGGCACAGAGGAATCAACCCCTCTCAGCAGCCCCGGCTCTGCCTCCTGCTCCCTGCCTCTGCTCATATACCAGCTGGGACTCATCAGCTTCTAGAGAAAGCCAGGAGGTGGCCCAGGTGCATGGAGGCAGGGGGCTGTCAATATTGACCTGTGCTTGACCGCAGACTTTGCCAGTGGACAGGTTGCTAAGGAGTCAGAATGTCCACATGCCCCTAGTGCTCATCTTCCTAGCCTCCCATCTCACCTAGCTGCAGAGGGGGAGGGGGAGCACAAGAGTTGAAAGCGTGGATGATCTGGGTTCACTTCGGCTGCTTACCAACAAGTTACCCAGCCTGGGGAAGTTTCCCATCCTCTTTTTATCTCAGTTTCTTCAACTGTTACATGAGGATGTTGATACTAATGGCTTATCTTGAAGGGCAGATGGAAGATGAGTGAGGTGTTTGCACACAGCCAGTGCTCAATAATATTGGCCATTGTTAATTCTGAGGCTATCCTCTTACAGTGACCTCTTGGGCCTTTCAGCCCCAAGGAGCCTCTCCTCTCTCTGACTCCTGTGGCTCTGTCAAGATCCTGCAATGAAATTCTTCTGGAACCCTATCCAGATGGTGAACTCTTCAAGGGCGGGGACCCCATACAGGTGCCCCATTATAGGCCTGGTACACAACAGGTGCTCATGAAAAGGCCTGCTTGGCTGTGATACTACATGAACTTACAGAACCCTCACAACTACTTTTGGAGGCATATGACATGATTATCCCCTTTTATAAAAAGGGGGACAGTGGGTAACATCGAGGTGAAGAAATTGCCCAAGCAGCTGGGCGCGATGGCTCACGCCTATAGTCCCAACACTTTGGGAGGCTGAGGTGGGTGGATCATTTGAGGCCAGGAGTTCAAGGCCAGCCTGGCCAACATGGCGAAACCCCATCTCTGCTACAAATACAAATACAAATAATAATAATAATAATAATAATAATAATAATAATAATAATAATAATAGCCAGGCATGCTGGCATGCACCTGTAATCCCAGCTACTGAGGCTGAGGCATGAGAATCATTTGAACCGGGAGGCAGAGGTAAGAGGGAGCCAAGATCGGGCCACTGCATTCCATCCTGGGTGACAGAGTAAGACTCTGTCTCAAGAAACAAACAAACAACAAACAAACAACAACAACAAAGAAAAAGAAAGAAAAAAATTGCCCAGGGGCTCACAGCTATAAATCTGCAGATACTTATTGTGACCTGCCATGTGCCAGACACTGTGCTAAGAGCTGGGGACACAGCAATGAACAAGACAGAGACCTGCTCTCATGTGGCTTACATCCTGCTGAGCCAAGAGTAGGTAGATATGCCAATGTCCTGTCATAGAAAGCACCAGGCAGGGAAATGGGCAAAGACAGAGAGAGGTGGAGGCCGGGCGCGGTGGCTCACGCCTGTAATCCCAGCACTTTGGGAGGCCGAGGCGGGCGGATCACGAGGTCAGGAGATTGAGACCATCCTGGCTAACACGGTGAAACCCCGTCTCTACTAAAAATACAAAAAATCAGCCGGGCGTGGTAGCAGGCGCCTGTAATCTCAGCTACTCGGGAGGCTGAGGCAGGAGAATGGCGTGAACCCGGGAGGCGGAGCTTGCAGTGAGCCGAGATCGCGCCACTGCACTCCAGCCTGGGCGACAGAGATAGACTCCATCTCAAAAAAAAAAAAAAAAAGAGAGGTGGAGCGAGAGCCATTTTAGATAGGGTAGTCAAGGAAGACCTCTCTGAGGAGGTGACTTTTGTGTAGAGTCCAGAATGCAGCAAGTGCTGGGTGAAGCCTCAGGAAATCTGCTTTAGCATTGCTGTGGCAGATTCAGGGTGGAATCCAGGAGATCCCAGGACTGGTGGTGCCTAGAGCCCAGTTGGCTAGATCAACTTCAGTGTGGATAAATGACTCCCCTGCCCCCGCGAACTTACCTTCCTGGAGCAGTTAAAAGAACGGGGCACATGACCTAGATTCTCTGAGCTTCACTTTTCTCATCTGTAAAATGGGGATTGAAAAGCATAGCTTACAATTCTGAGAGCTGAGTTGATTAACAGAGATGGTCCATGTAAAATGCTGGGCTCAGAGCTGGGCTGACCAGATTCACCTAGTCCTTGGTGGCTGGAGTGGGCAGGTGACCTTCCTTTTGGCCGTCCAGCACCCTCCAACTCCTTGCTTCTGAGACCTCACCTCCCACTCATGGTATCATTGCTGGCCTTCCCAGCCCCGTCTTGGCCAGGGGGCAGTCAAGTGACCCAGATTAGCCTCGTGCCATTCTGTTGAGGGTGTGGTGGTTGCTACATTGAGTGTCCAGAGGTAGCAAGGACTAAAGTCCTGGTGTCAGCATCCAGCGTTGGTGTCAGCAGCACGAGCTCTGTCTTGGGGACCCGTGGTGTCAGCAGTGAAGTCTCCCTCAGGCCAGGGCTTTGGTCTGATTTGAGGGCTTTTTTCTTTTCTGGATATGAAGCCTGTAAGCCTTCTGACCCTCCTGGAGATCCTTCAGGCACGTCTGCAGCCATGGGTCCTGGATGATTTAGCAGCTCACGCCATTGTCTGGAAACTCCACTGGTACTATTTTTCTCATGTTCAGCTCTCTGTGCACAGACTCCATCCTTCTGGCCCAGATGGCCCCTTGGGGATATGCACATACCAAGTTCTTTCCACTGTCCTCACTTTGAGGGCAGGGGCCTGGGTTGTTCATTTTTGTGTCCCCAGATCCTAGCACAGAGCGGCTCAGAGGAAAGGCTCAATGCATGTCCATGGTGTCAACAAATCAGTGGCACAGGATACAGTTTCCACACATCTCCCCATCCTGGTTGCTTCCCCGAACCATTTTCCAGTCTGTCAGTGTTCTTCTGAATATACAGGATCCAGAACTGAGCACAAAACTCCAGAAATAGGTGAATGGAGCTGAGCAGAATGAAACTGTCACCTCCCTTACCGTAGATACCGGACTTCTAATTACATGACCAGACATTTAATAAGCTTGTTTTGTTTCCCTGGGTGGCATATATCAAGCTACTAGCAAGCGTTTTGTTTTCATGGTCCTCTACCCACATATTGTTGCAAAACCTCACTTTACTGCCCTTCTCCCTTAATTTCACGCTTATAATAGTATTGCCCCTCTCTCACTTCCCAGGAATGCCAAGTCGATTACAGCTCAAGAGCCCAATCTTGACTGGTCCGTAGCCTGGAACATGGTGCTGAGATAGATGCTGTAACTGAGTTTGGGCTCACTGAGAAAGACTGCTGCAATTGATTAACGATGTCTGCCAAGCTGTGTAAAGTGAAGTAATGTCATTCCCTATCACAAGTCCTAACCTGGGGTCCATGGAAAGAATTTAGTTGGTCTGTCATTAACTTGGATAGGGAAAGTATTACATCTTTAATTTCATTAACCTCTATCTGAAACTTATCATTCCTTCAATTATGAATGCAGGCAACAGACCACAGTGGTATTAGCAGGACCTGTGACTTTGTCACCAATAGAAATCACAGATTTTTTAAAATGACATTACAGACGTTCCGCATATCTTGAAATATAATTTACATGCACTGTGACTTGGAAATGATAAGTTATTTGCTAAGTACTCATTTACTTACTCACATTTGTTTAGCGCCTAGTCAATAGCCTGGTGACGTGCCAGGACCTGGGCTGGGTGCTATAGGCAAAAGGCAGATGCGTAAGGCTCAGTCCTTCCCTCAAAAGAGAAAAGCAGACAGTGACAATGGAAAGGCTTGATGCTTTGATGGGGGAAGTACCTGAGGCCCCCAACCCAGCCCAGAGGGATCAGGGAAGGCTTCCCAGAGGAAGTGGCCTCTCAGATGAGTAGGAAGTAACCAGACCCCTGAGTGCTGAGAAAAAGTGTTCAGGGAGCAGAAACAGCATGAGTAACGAAGCTAGGAAAGAAAGAGGACACAGGGCTTACAAAGTATTCCATGGCGGGGATGGGGAGGGGAGGAGAGAAGCGGGGAGATGGCTGGGGGGGTCAGGCAGGCCCCTGGAAGTCATGCTTGGCGGTACCCTGGTCGTGGGGGGGAAGGGGTGCTGGCGCTTGCTGCCCCATCTGTCTCAGTGGCATTGAGCTGTGACTTCAGTGGCCTGGGGAAGTTCAAGGTCACCTCTGGGGTGGAGGAGGTGGAGACATCTCACCAGGGCTGGCAAAGGCCAACTGGGAAGCTGGGGCCGATACCTGCCCCTCACGGCAGCCACCACAAGGGGCCTTCTGCTCCGAAGGCCCAAGCACGCCCTGTTCCTTTATTTATGGGCCGTGTGAGCAATTTGCTGCTTGCTGGCCGGCTGGCTGGGTGTGCGATGCGGGGATTACTCACGCCCCAGTTGTGGTCCGGCCTCTGCAGGCTGCGGGGTAGTGAGTGAGGTAATTAAGTGTAAAAGATGGAGCAGGCAGGGGAGGGCTGAGGGCGGTGAGCAGTCACTGGTTCTTTTCAGGAGCAGGGGAGTGAGATAATGTAGGATAATAGCCTAGCCAAACCCTGCCCAGGCAGCCCGGCCTGTGCTGAGAGGTGCCCCCCAAACGGCCAAGACAATTCAGCCTTTTCAGGGAAAATGGGGGGGCTTGGGCAGGGCCTGGCTCCCAGGGACAGCTGTATGGAAATGACAGCTCCTCTCCTTCGTCCTGTCCTGTGTTGGCTCAGGGTAGGGGCAAGTGTAAGTGTCTTCAGCTGGGGATGAGGCCAGGGCAGGGGGCAGTAGATGGGACCAGGAAAGCTGGTGGGTGAGAGGAGGGATCCATGCGGGGCTGGGAGACTGACCTGTGTATGTGGCACAGGCACAGTGGTTCGTGGCAGCAGACTCCAGGGCCTGACTCACCTGGTGGAAACTGTGGTGTGGCTTTGGCTAGCTGTGTGACATCAGCCTAGTTGTGGTCCTTCTCTGAGCCTCAGGACTCTCATCTGTCAAATGGGGCTGTCAAACAATTCCTACTTCCCGGGGGTGTTTGGAGAATGGTTCGTAGCGCCTGATGCACAGGGGCTACGAAATGCTTGACATGGTGAAGTCCAGAATCAGAGTGCATTAGTCATTCACTCATTCAGTGGATAAATGTTTATTGAGTGCCTACCATGTTCTAATGGTTCCTGGGAAAGCAGCAGTGACTAGAACAGAGTCCCTTTCCTCTTGGAGATGACATTCTAAGAGGGGAGACAGACCATTAATCGTGAAACACATAAGCATAAAAGGTCATACCAGCAATCCCACTTCTGAAAACTTATTCTATAGACATGTTTGCATACATGTGGAATGAATGCATTCATGGTTATTTATTGCAATTTTGTTTGGCATAGCAAAATCTTAGTAATGATCTAAATGCCTGTTACACATGGGCTGACTGAAGTATGGAATATTATATAGCCATTAAAAAGGGTGAGACCATTTCTATTTCTGTTTATTTTTATTTACTTTTTTTAGAGATGGGATCTCACTATGTTGACCAGGCTGGTCTTAAACTCGTCACTGGTGAGACCATTTCTTATGTACTGATATAGAAAGCTCCCTAAGATGTTTTGACAAATAAGAAAAGGAATGTGAAGGATAGTTTCTGTAAAAGAGGAGACAATTTGAAAAATGTATTTCTATTAGCTTGTGTATATATGAAACTAATAATAGTTGTTACCCAAGGAGAGGAGTAGGGTTGGAATGAGAGACAGGAAGGGGAGAGTTTCACTGTATACTTTTCTATAACTTTTATTTTTGTATGAAGTGAATGTATTACTAGTTCAAAAAAGAGAAAATAAATATTCAGCTTCCTCTTTCCTCCTTTCCTTCCTCAGCATTTGTTGGAGGTAGCTGTTGAGATTTGGGACTAAGCAACAAAGGCAGCTGAGTGAGGTGGTGGCTCAGTGTGCCTGGGGATTGAACAAACAGGTTCATATATCAAGGATAATGAGAGCCAGGTTGCTCAGCATCAGAGAAGGGAATTACAAGTATGAAAACAGGAAAGGCTAGAAAGAACCCTGTGGTGTTAGATTGGAGTTAGAGGAATCAGTGTAAACTCATAGCTTTTGATATATATAGTTACATAAGCATGCATGCAAGTGTGTGTGTGTGTGTGTGTGTGTGTGTGTGTGTGTGTGTGTGTGTGATGCATATGTGCATTTCCCAGTTCTGTCCAAAAAGACAGCAATAATCAATACACCATGTAGCCACGAATACACCTAACACCTAGATCTTGGGTTTTAAATACTATTCTCCACTGAAAGGAACTGGGGCTTGGGAAAATAGTAGATTTGAGGGCTGGAGCAGGAAAAGTGCCCTGTGCCTGGTACCATGGTACATGAAACATCTAGCTGTGCCATATGATAGGCAAGTGCTCAAGTAATGCTGAGGACATGTCAAAAGACCAAGGTGCCAACTTAAAGGGACTCCCAATGGCCAAATCTGGGACAACTTGAGTATCAAAATAATGACAGTAACAGATTATAAGCCATGAAATATAAATAGTCCTGATATACAGACACATACACGTATTACATACACACATACATACATACACACATGTGCAGAAAGAGAAAGCTCTTTCTTACACTAGAATGCCCAATAATAGGTGTGGAAGGAAGGATGCAACTAGTATGGTAATAATTGATTCAAACAAGAAGCATTACTAGATGCTAAAACTAAAGCCATTGTGTGAAAATTTGTTGAGGAGTAGGATATTTACATAGTCTTAAAGAGTCTTTCCACAAGATACAATACCTGCAAAAGGAAGGAGAGTGACTTTATAGCGAAGAAACATGGCAGAGACTATCTTAGTCGAGTGATCAAAGGCTGCATCACTGTTACTGGACAAACTGACATGAGGCTCCTGATGGGATGCACAGGGAAGAGTGAAAAATCACTTCTGTGATGTTCCTGCCAGAGATGCAAAACTGAAATCTAATCACGAGGAGCCGTCACATAAACCCAATTTGAGGAACCTTCTACAAAACAACTGGCCTGTAACCTGGGTAAGTATCAAGGTAATGAAAGGCAAAGAAAAACTGAGGGACCGTCACAGATTAGAGGAGACTAAAGAGATAAGACAATGAAATACAATGAGTAATTCTGGATGGATCTTTTTGTTTATTATAAAGGACATTATTATTGAGACAATGGACAATATTTGACTGGGCTCTGAAGATTGGATGGTAGTAATATATCAATGTCAATTTCCTGATTTTGATGATTTTATTGTGGTTATGTAGGAGAATATACTTGCTTTTAGGAAATGTACACTAAAGTATTCCAGGATAACAGGGAATCAAATTGACAATTTACTCTCAAACAATTCAAAGAAAATCTCTCTATATATAAATCTCTAAGAGAGAATGATAAAGCAAATATGTTTAAATGTCAATATTTGGGGATTCTGGGTAAACAATATATGAGAATTCTTTGTACAATGTTTGCAACTCTTCTGTAGGTTTAACATTATTTTACAATAAAGTTATTTACATGAAACTGAAACCATATGATGTCAAGTAATGATAAGTGATATATAGAAAAATCAAGTGGGCAGAGGAACAGAAAATGAGGGGGTGGTGCTATTCTAGATGGTATGGTCCAGGCAGGCCTCTCTAGGGGAGGACCTTTGAGCAGAGACCTAGTGGGAGGGAGGGAGTAGCTCCATGGATACTTGGGGAGAGTCTCAAAGGCCGAGGGACCCATCTGAGAAAAGGCCCAGAGTGGGACCAGCTTGGCCTGTGTATTAGTGTCTATTGCTATGTAACAAATCATCACCAACTTAGTGGCTTCAAACAACAGCCATTTAGCTCACAGTTCTGTAAGTCATCGTCTGGCACAGAGCAACTGAGTTCTTTGCTCAGGATATTACAAGGTAGAAACCAAGGTGTAGGTTGGGCTTAGTTCTTATGTGAAGGCTCTGGGGAAAAAATCCACTTCCAATTTCATTCTTTTCTTTTCTTTTTTTTCTTTTTCTTTTTTTTTTTGTGCAGTTGCAGAGAGGAAAGGAGGAAATTTTTCGATAGAAAAATCTTGGAGATCCTGTTGCTGTCACCCATCGGGCTGTTGGAAGCTGGGGTTAGTCCAGAAGTCTTCAGGTAATGCCAGGGTGTTGCCCTGGCCAGGAACTCTCAGTTGCCTCTGAACTTCTTCCAGCCCCACATGATGGCTAAGCTCTCCATGAAAGGAGACCAGTTGGAAACAAAGCCAACATTCCCAGCACCCTGAGGGCACTGAAGGATTGGCTAAGTTCTCCCCGGCAAGCCTGTTCCCTGAGAAAATGGAGGACAGAGTCCTTAAAATGAAAGAGCTGGGGTCTGTGCCTATACTCACTCTTTCAATGAATCTACGTCGGATCCCAGGCAGGCCCCCACAATGAAGTGGTGTTGTTCAACTGAGGTAATACCCAAGGTTCGTTGTCTCATGGCCACAGAAAACTAGGACTCGGACACACCAGAGTGAGGTTAAGAGCAGAAGTTTAATAGGCAAAAGAAAGAGAAAAGCTCTCTCTGTTGCAGAGAGAGGGGTCCTGGCGAAAATGGGTTGCCCCCAAGTTCATTCTTGTTGTTCGCAATGTTCAGCGTCTTGCGGTTGTGGGACTGACCGTAACAGACGATTTTTTTGTTGGCTAGAAGCCACCTGCATTCCTTGATGTGTGGCCCCTCCATCTTCAAGTGAGCAATGGTGTTTTGAATCCTCCTTATGCTTCATGTCTTTGACTTCCTCTTCTGTGACCAACCGGGAAAAACTCACTGCTTTAAAAGGGCTCTTAGGATTAGATCAGGTACTGTGTTAGTTCACTTTTGCATTGCTATAAAGAAATACCTGAGGCTGGGTGATTTATAAAGAAAAGTGGTTTAATTGGCTCATGGCTCTGCAGGCTGTACCAGCATAGCTCTAGCATCTGCTTCTGGTGAGGCCTCGGGAAGCTTCTAATCATGGTAGAAGGTGAAGGGAGAGCAAGTGGTGTCACATGGTGAGAGCCAGAGCAAGAGAGAGAAGGGGAGGGTGCCAGATTCTTTTATTTTTTATTTTTGTTTTTTGAGACAGAGTCTTGCTCTGTTGCCCAGGCTGGAGTGCAGTGGCATGATCTCGGCTCACTGCAACCTCCACCTCTCGGGTTCAAGTGACTCCCATGCCTCAGCCTCCTGAGCAGCTGGGACTACAGGTGCACGCCACCATGCCCAGCTAATTTTTTTGCATTTTTGTTAGAGATGGAGTTTTGCCATGTTGCTCAGGCTGGTCTCGAACTCCTGAACTCAGGCAATCTGCCCACCTTGGCCTCCCAAAGTGCTGGGAATTCAGGCATGAGACATGGCGCCTGGCCCCAGACTCTTTTGAACAAGCAGATCTGTGAACTAACCGGGTGAGAACTCACTTATTACCAAGGGGATGGTGGTAAACCATTCATGAGGAATCCGCCCCGGTGATCCAATACCTCCCGCCAGGCCCACCTCCGACACTGGGAATCACATTTCAACGTGAGATTTCAGAAGACACACATCCAAACCGTATCAAGCATACCCAGAGATTTTCCGTATCTTAAGGCCATTTATGCCAAATAACATAAGCTGATCACAAGAGTAAACGCCACCATATTCACAGCGCAGGGTATTTTACAGGACATGTACACAGGATGGGGAGGACTGGGCTGAAATCCTGGAGGCCATCTTAGAATCTGCCTATCATAGTTGCCGGGGTTGAGAAACAAGAAAGCCAGTGTGGCTGGAGCACAGTGAACAAGGGGGTGCAGGGAGGAGAGACAGCAGAGTATCACAGGTGGAGAGACACATATATACCACCTAGCCTGATGGGAGGCTGAAGGCCTGAAAGTCACCTTGTGCAATTTTGGTTCCTGAGGAAGGGGAGGGTCATGCGAGTTCCTCCATGGATTCACTTGCACTAAAAAGCACCCCTGGGGTGGGACCCAGTCGATGATGGAAGTCAATGGAATGCGTGTTGAAGAGTAGCCCTTGGAGAACCAGTGGGCTGCTGGGCATAGGTGATAAGTTCTGCTCTGTGCATTTGGCCCAGTAGGCACAATGCCAAGAAGCCATGGGCTCGTCAAGGATCCATGGAGAAGTCTGAAATCTAAAAAAGCTGGCTGGAAAAATATTTTAAAACTTTCCAAACTTGAAAGACTTAGTGAAGTGCCTACCAAGTAGCATTGTGTCAATGGGTCATGAGCAACGCCCAAGTCTCCTAATAGTTACATATGCGTTCTATGTGATGTGACTGCATTTTGTTTCCATTTTAACATTATTGTATTTATTTTTTCGTAGTATCATGTGCAATGTACAAATAAAAAGGAACAAAAGGAGATGCCCTGAAAAGCAAGTCTCTCTCCCACCTCTGACCCCCAGCCACGCACCCTCTCCCCACTGAGGCGTTTCCTGTACTCAAAGGTATTTTGTGCACATGCTAATGAACATGTATATATACACCTGACTCCTCCCCTTTTCACAATGGTGGCTGTTCTGCCTGCTTTTTTTCTTTTTTCTTGGCAGTACATCTTGGAGATGTTTCCTATTGGCTCATGTGGAGCTGCCCATTCTTTTGTACAGCAGCAGAGCAGTCTGTTATTTGGATGAACTGTCATTTATTAACTAGACATGCCCACAACCCTGCCACCTCTTTTCCTAACACACTGGGCAGTCTTGGCCTCTCCCAGGCTCCCTGGGAGGGTCACTACTTTCACAAAGATGATGCCCACTTCTGCCCATGGAATCTGGCTTGCCCAGTGACTACCTGACAGGGTTGAGTGACACCACCCAGAAGTGCAAAGAAGGCAGTAAAGAAGAAAGAAGAATTTATTAGGTGCCCGAGGAAGGGCTCAATCCTGCCAGTCTAAACATTGTTGTACATACCTCCTGATATGTTTTTCTAGAATGTCTCCAGGAAGGGATTGCTGGGAATAAGTGCAAAATAATGCCCAATTGTTCTCCAGAGTGGTTGTACAACTGACTCCCTTATCACCAGTGTCAAGGAGTCCTTGTTCCACATAATTGATCACATTTGGACTTGTCTAGCTTTTTAAGTTTTGCCAATTGAGTAGACAGGAAATGAGCTTTTAATTTGGATTTCTCTAATTACTCAGAGGTTGAGCATCTTTTCAAATGTTTGTTGGCTATTCATGTTTTCGCTTCTCTATGTCTGTCCAAATCTTTAGTCCATTTTTCTTTTTGATTGTTTGTCCTTGTCTTATTGAATTGTAGGGGTTCTTTATATATTTGGGTGCTAATCTTTGTCAGTTAAATTGTTACGGACATCTTCTAGCTTGTGACTTGTCTTTCCACTTTTAAAAAATGGTGAACTTTGATGAACGGTATCGGTTGTAATGTAACTAATTTATTAATATATGCCTTTATGGTTTGTCCTTTCTGTTTCTTGCTTCAGGAATCCTTTCCAACCCAAAGCCATCCCCATGTTTCTATGATGCACATGTATATATATTATTTATTTATTTATTTTTTGAGATGGAGTCTCGTTTTGTCCCCCAGGCTGGAGTGCAGTGGCGCAATCTCGGCTCACTGCAAGCTCCGCCTCCTGGGTTCACGCCATTCTCCTGCCTCAGCCTCCGGAGTAGCTGGGACTACAGGCGCCCGCTACCATGCCCGGCTATTTTTTTTGTATTTTTTAGTAGAGACAGGGTTTCACCATGTTAGCCAGGATGGTCTCGATCTCCTGACCTCATGATCTGCCCACCTCGGCCTCCCAAAGTTCTGGGATTACAGGCGTGAGCCACCACGCCTGGCACATGTATATATATATTTTAAAAAGATCATATGTGCATCCTGTTTTGTAGCTACTTTTCCACTTACCTAACATGAAGGAACATTTTTTCCATGTTTAAATAGTCTACAACATCTTTGGTAAATGGTTGCATAGTTTTCCATTGTATGGAATATACAGTCTTTATTTACTGAATCCCCTGTGATGAACATTTAAGTTGCTTTCAGCTTTCATATGATCAATAATGCTGCCAAGAATATCCTGAAGCTGTTGGGGTCCACATTCATGATCATTTCTCTTAGATAAAGTCATAGAAATGAAATTGCCCATAGAATTTAAGGCTTCGGATACATTTGACCAAATTTGCCAGAGGATCCACTTTTGATTCCTTTCCAAGAAGCAATATGCCATTGTGTTCAATTGCCCTTCCCAAGAGTCTGGAATCAGCAAAGTAGGGGTCCTGGAGATGATGTTTTGAACTGGAGCTGTTAGCAGGCATGTTCTGTTGTGTGCAGAAATAGTTACTGTAGCAGTTAAAGATTTTCCCTGTCCTCTTCCTTCCTACCCTCTCCTGACTCCTGACAGGTAAGATGCCATTATTAGTACTATTAAGAGAAAAGAGCCAAGAAATTAGGCCTGCTTTGGTAATGATTCTTGGCTAATTAATTGCATTTCCAATGGCCATAAGCTCCTGCTTCAACCAGCACCTCTATGTGTTGAAGGCAAGAAAAGGGGTCCACTACAGCTGCTACCTCCTGGGCTGGGCACATAACATTCTCATAAAAATGTTTGTCCAGTCAATGAAGGATTTCGGTTTTTTTTAAGAGACAGGGTCTCATTCTGTTGCCCAGGCTGGAGTGCAGTGTCACGATCACGGCTCACGCAGTCTTGACCTCCTGGGCTCAAATGATCCTCCCACCTCAGCCTCAAATGATCCTCCCACCTCAGCCTCCCGAGTAGCTCGGACCACGGGCACATGCCACCATGCCTGGCTGATTTTTGTATTTTTTGTAGAGATGGGGTTTCGCCATGTTGATGAGGCTGGTCTCGAACTCCTGGCTCAAGCAATCCACGTGCCTCGGCTTTCCAAAAAGATTACAGGCATGAGCTACCGTGCTCCCGGTCAGGAATCTTTTAAAAGTCTCCTGGGTTGTCTTGGATGAGAAAAATAAAAAGAAGTCTCCCAGAGAACTTGAAAGCCTTAGATCAGGATTCCCTTCCTTCAGAGGGGTAAGAGGTGGGTGCCAAGCATTTAATTCTTAAGCATTTATTTTAGCAAATATCAA
Organism: Homo sapiens; assembly: GCF_000001405.40. Lineage (NCBI taxonomy): Eukaryota > Metazoa > Chordata > Mammalia > Primates > Hominidae > Homo > Homo sapiens. The sequence continues at coordinate 697,741 of NC_000020.11, forward strand.
CATGTATAGTAATTGATACTTTTATAGTAATTGATATTAATTTTCATGTATGGCAGCACAAAGTTTCCCATTAGCGTGAACTGGCTTTTTGTTTTTTTAAATGAGGCTATTTAAAGAAAAATATTAAGTAAATTGGTGGAAGATAGCCTGCAGATGGGGGTGGGGAGGAGGTGGTGTGATTCCGCCCAAACTTCGAGAAACACTGCTTCGGTGGAAACCGCTCCGTGAGGAAGGCCTTAAGCCAGGGCTGGGTTGGGTCAGGAGAAAGCAGGGCCTTGGGATTCCAGGCGGAGGGCACTGGGAGGCTCTGGAGGGTGCAGTGAGGCTGCCACAGTCAAAGGCCGGGCGGCTGGGAGGGGCTTTCGGAGCTCTTCCTGGTATTTAAATCATATTTAGGGATTATAAAGTGTGATCCTTCTCATTGTGTCATTTGACACTCACAGCAACTTTGTGGAGTTTCAGGCAATAAGGAGATTGCCTTGTCAGTTTACAGAAGGAAACGGAGGCAGAGAGAGACGCAGCAATTTGCCCAGGGTCTCAGGTGAGTAAAAGGCCTCAGTGGTGGGTGTGGGCAGCATGGCTGGAAGAAGCGGAATTTGGTGTGGAATTTGTGGAGATGTGTCAGGAGTTGCACCTCTGGGACTAGGGCACTCACAGCCCTCTCCTAATAACAATAACAACCACCATTAGCATTTATGGAGTGCTCGCTGCGGGCTGGCTCTGTGCTGAGCAACTCTGGCTGTCTCACTGCACACTTTACACTAACGCAATGGGAGGGGAGGTGTCATTATCCCCCAGAAAGTGTCAAGGGCAGGAGTTATTGATTCATGGTGTCTGCTCTTGTAGAAATTTGAATTCCAGTAAGGGAGAGGGGAGCCAGAAAATAACCACGGGAAGACATCAATGAATGAGATAATTTCACATAACGATAAATGCCAGGGAGAAAAAACCCACAGGGCAATGTGATATGGCCTCTGGAGGTGGAGAAGGAACTGCTCCAGATGAGGCCATCCGTGAAGGCTTCTCTGAGGAGGTGACATTAGAGCCAGAGCCAGTAACGTCTGGACTTGAACCTGGGCTTGCGGCATGGGAGAGTCCTGCATCTGACTCCAAACTTCCCCTCCTCTGTCTCCTGTGGATCACAGAATGCTTTTGCCAGAGACTCAATCCCTTGTTAAGAATCATGGAGTTGGCCGGGCACGGTGGTTCATGCCTGTAATCCTAGCACTTTGGGAGGCTGCGGCGGGTGGATCACTTGAGGTCAGGAGTTCAAAACCAGCCTGGCCAACATGGTGAAACCCCGTCTCTACTAAAAATACAAAAAATTAGCAGGGCATGATGGTGCGAGCCTGTAATCCCAGCTGCTCAGGAGGCTGAGGCAGGAGAATTGCTTGAACCTGGGAGGTGGAGGTTGCAGTGAGCCGAGATCCCACCACTGCACTCCAGCCTGGGTGACAGAGCTAGACTCTGTCTCAAAAAAAAAAAAAAAAAAAAAAAATCATGGAGTCCTGGCTTAGGGAACGGAGTGTCCAGGAACTAGGGATGAAAGGATGGTAAGATATCCAAGCTGGAGAGACCTCACCTGTGGTGCTGCCTTGTCCAACTCCAGGAGCTTCATGCACTTGCCGACAGTGGAGTTATGCCACGTTAGGGGTCACTCTAGATGATTCCCCTGGCCAAAGGGAAACCAAGTCCCAGAGACGAGATGGGTCCTGCCAAAGGCTGTAGCTTACAGCTGTGCAAGTTGTGCTGGGCTCCAGGGAGCCCAACTGGAGGCTAAGGGGATGCCTTGCATCCCACCAGGGGGCTGCACCAGGAAGAAAGGGTACCTGTTTCTAATTCACACAAAGGAATGCTATGGGCTAGGGGTGGCCCTGAGCCTCGTGGAGGATGGGGGCAGAGGTGAGATCCCCACATCGTTGTGCCATCCTTTTTCCCACCTCTCCTGCTTCCTGCTTTGTTCCTGCCAGTCCCTGGAGGGCAGGCGGGTGAGCATCTTCACCATTGAGGGATGCCCCCTCCTTAATTGTGGCAAGGGGGGCCCTTTGCAGCCCAGTGCAGGCCTTATGGGACAGTGAAGAGGAAAAGAAGCAAGCTGGCCAGGATTCCCTGGGGTTTTTGTGGAGCTGACAGGCTGAGGAGTGGTTGGTTCCGGGGGCGGGGGTGGCCCAGAAGTGCCTTATCTCCTCTGGGCCAGTGTCAGCTCCTGTCCCCAGCCTGCAGCACAGGCTGGAGCTGCCAGCCTGGGGACTGCAGCAAATTTGCATTTATATTGGAGACTTCTGTTTCCAGGGCTTGGGGGGAGGAGGGGTGGCCACCACCATCAGCTGAGCAGAGATGCAGGAGAGGAGGGGCCTGCAGCCCTGTCCTGCCAGGGGCACAGGAAGTGGCCGATGGGCCCAGTCTGCCTGGCTGAGGGAACAGTGGCACAGAAGGTTCTCTGGGCACGCGGCCGGCCCCGACAGCCTGCCTGTCCACCCTCCCAGACGCTCGCCAACATCAGCTGGGAGTTGGCTCTGCCCCCAGGCCTGGGAGAAAGGTCAGAGGCCGGTGCCAGCAAGGGACTAAGCAAGGCCAAAGCACTCCTGTGACAGGGTGCAACTGCGTGTCACCCGGTCTCAGCCCCACAAAATTGTAAATTGTTTTAGCCAAGAAAACGGAGGCTCAGAGGGGCTTAGCCATTAGCTCAAGGTGATCCAGCTTATCATCCATGCCCCATGAGCCTCCCAGGAACACCCGGGATACTCACACACCCTGGATGCCATCTATACTTAGGGGACAAAGAGGAGTTGACACCCCTTTTCCAGCTAAGTTCTGGAGGGTCAAGGGAAGTTATTGCAGGCTCGTGACACTGTTAGGGCTGGTTTTGTGACAGCTTAGGAATCATGTTTCTTTCTCTCTTTTCTTTCTTTTTTTTTTTTTTTTTTAGAGACAGTCTCACTCAGCTGCCCAGGCTGAAGTGTAGTGCAGTCATGGCTCACTGCAGCCTCAGCCTCCCGGGCTTAAGAGATCCTCCCACCTCAGCCTCCTGAGTAGCTGGGACCACAGGAGCATGCCACCATGCCTGGCTAATTTTTTAATTTTTTATTATTAGTAGAGACTGGGTCTCGCTCTATTGCCCAGGCTGGACTGGAACTCCTGGCCTCAAGGGATCCTCTCGTCTTGGCCTCCCAAAGTGCTGGTGTAAGTCATGGCTCCTGGCCTCATGTTTCGTTTTATGGTGAAATCCATAAAATGGGTTTTTTTAGGGCCAGGTTCAGGCCAGGTTTCCCCTTGTCTTTGGAGAATGTAGCTTCTCCCATCTGTGAGGTTCCATGTGAAGAAGGAATGGAAGGAAGGAGAGAAGACAAGAAGGGAAGGAGGGGGGACAGGAGGAGGGAGAAATAGGGAGTGAAGTATAGAATAAATAAATAGAAGAGGGGGGCCGGGCATGGTGGCTCATGCCTGTAATCCCAGCACTTCGGGAGGCCAAGGTGGGCGGTTCACCTGAGGTCGGGACCAGCCCGACCAACATGGAGAAACCCTGTCTCTACTAAAAGTACAAAATTAGCCAGGTGTGGTGGTGCATGCCTGTAATCCCAGTTACTCTGGAGGCTGAGGCAGGAGAATCGCTTGAACTCGGGAGGCGGAGGTTGCTCTCCAGCCTGGGCAACAAGAATGAAACTCTGTCTCAATCAATCAATCAATCAATCAGTAGAAGAGGGGATAGAAGGAAGGAGTGGAAGGAGGGAAGGAAGGGAGAGGGAGTAGATGAGAAGAGAAGATAGAGTCATCCTGCACCCCGCCCCCCAGGTGTGCTTGTTGCTGCTGGAAGTGCCCCCTCTGTGCCCTTTCCCTGGCTGTTGTATGGAATGGTGGTCCTCTCCCCATCCTCCTCACCCTACAGCTGAGACCTCCTGACCTCCAGTAGCAGGTGAGCCCTGCTCCAGGTGGGGGACCAGTGACAAGCTGGTTGGGGCTCCAGGAAGCAGAAGTTGGGGCCCTGTTGTGATCCCTGGGCTTTATTTCCATCCTCAGGGCTCAGCTGCCTCTGGAGGGGGCTCTGCCTTGCTCTTTGGGTTCTCTCCACACACTCCCTCCCCCACTCTTCCAGACGGAGGTCTTGGCCCCATTCCCCCAGCCTGTGGCTGTAGGCTTGCAGCTGACAAACCTCCTGGTCCTGGCTCTCCGTCCAGCAGAACAAGCCCTCCCTGTCTGTCACCAAACAGTCAGGACGGCCTGTTCCACCTGGCAGGCTGGACTATTGCCCAGCTTAGTCTTGGGAAGTGAGGACCAGGGCTGACAACCCACTGCCTGAGTTCAAATCTTTGCTGTGCCTCTTTCTGGCTGTGTGGCCTTGGGCAAGACCCGTTACCTCTCTGAGCTTCTGGCTTCTCATCCGTCAATGGGCATAATGTTAGGATCTGCCTCTTGGATTACTGTATGAATGATACGAGATCGTTCATGGAAAGTGCTTGGCTTGGTGCCTGGCACCAAGACATTTCAGCTTATATTATCCTAGCTGTATCCTTCAGTGTCTGTCTGGCCTAGGTGGGATGTCAGGTTCCAGGGACCTGTCCCCATGCTTCCTCCATTAACCCCTTTATGACTAGTGTCACCTGATATGACTATTTCAACACACATAGGATTGAACCCTGGTACTATTATACCATTACTACTTCTCCTAGTTGTTGTATAAGTGCTTATGGGATCAGGCACTGTTCAAGCCATTTTAAAATATGACTCCACATTCCTTTAAATTCCTCTAATCAAGAAGTGGGGCCTATGTCCCCTCTCTTGATTGCTCCCAGGAATAAAATATGGTTAGAAATGACCATGCTGGCTGCGTGCGGTGGCTCACGCCTGTAATCCCAGCACTTTGGGAGGCTGAGGTGGGCGGACCACCCGAGGGCAGGAGTTTGAGACCAGCCTGGCCAACCAACATGGTGAAACCCCATCTCTACTAAAAATACAAAAAAATTAGCCGGGCGTGGTAGCTGTAATCCCAGCTACTCGGGAGGCTGAGGCGGGAGAATCACTTGAACCCGGGAGGCAGAGGTTGCAGTCAGCCTAGATCGTGCCACTGCACTCTAGCCTGGGCAACAGAGTAAGACTCCTTCTCAAAATAAATAAATAAATAAATAATAAAAAAAATGACCATGCCACTTCTGCTTGAGTCTCTGGGGACACTCACTCTTGGAACTGTTGGAACCCAGCCTGCATGCTAGGAGGAAGCCCAGGACCCACGGAGAGGCCAGGTGTGGATGTTCTGGCCTGCAGTCTCCACTGTGCCACTCCTAACTGCCACACATGTGAGGGGAAGACAATTCTAGATGATTCTAGTCCCCTGCCTTCAACTCTTTTCAGCTGAGGCCCCAGATACTGTAGAACAGAAGGAAGCCACCCCCATGTGCTCTGTCTGAATCTGTGAGCATAAGAAAATGGTTAACAGTACTACACGTTGGGGTTGTTATGCCACAGTAAATCACCAGAATCCCTGTGCTGACTCATTTAAGCTTCACAACTTAGGAAGTAGCTGTTCTTATCATCTCCATTTCATAGATGAGGAAATTAAGACCCAAAATGCTTTAGCAAGCTACCTGAGTCCACAGATCTTCTAAGAGGAAGAGCTGGGATTCGTGCCCATGGGTTTGAGCATTGAAGAATCAAGCAGGGCCCATGTCCTACAGGGCCTAGTGGGCCACATAGGTGACTGGATGTCATCTTGAGGGCCTTGGAGGGCTGTGGGAAGACACTGATGTGTGGAATTCACGAGGTCGGGAGAGGGCACTAAGAAGCTTGCTTAGGTGCAACGTGGAGGGTGGGTGAGAAGGGGCTGGAAGTGGCCCACGAGGATGGACAGTGCCACCCTGCCATGGTCCACCATCCTCTCCATGTCCTGCTCCTCAAAGTTACGAGGGCAGCAGCAGGAGGCCTGGTCTCAGGCCCTAATGAGCTCTGCACCTATCAGAGCTTGGCCTAGCCGGAGATCCCAGCCAATTCCTTTGGGCTGACTTAGGCTGTGCCCTTGGACGGACAGAGCTGGGCAGTCAGGGCTGGGAGCCTGACAGTGTGAACAGGAAGTTGACGGCCCAGGAGCATCCTCTGTTCCCTGCACATCAAGGTGGGCCACATAGCTCCAAGATCATCTGTGCCAACTGGATCTACTGGGTTTGGAGTTGGCTGAGAGTGGAAGGGAGCCCACAAGAAGAGTGACCTAAAGAGGACAGACACTGATTTCTTTTTCTTATTACCAATCTGGAAGCAGGCAGTCCCGGGCTGGTATAATGGCTCTTTGATCCTCAGGGACCCAGACTCCTTCTATCTTGTTGTTCCACCCTCAACACTTCATAGTCCAAGGTGGCCGCTCATTCTCTGGCCATCATGTCCACATTCCAGCCAGAGGGAAAGAGGAAGAGGCAAAGAATGCTCTGGTCTCTTTAAGGACCCCTCACCCCCACCGCTCAGAAGTTGTACTCGGTACTCCGTTTACCTCTTCATGGCAGGAATGCAGACACATGGCCACCCCTAACTGCAAGAGAGGCTGGGAAGCGTGGTCTCTGTTCTGCCATCCATTCACCCAGCTATATCGGTGGGGAGGGGGTTCTCATACTGCGGGACATGGCAAATCGCTTGGAATGCCAGCCACACCTGGCACCTGGAAGCCAGAGTGAGTGTTTTGAAACTTGAATCATTTAACTTCGTTGCTTAAAATGATCCTGTAGCACTCACTGCTCCCATGATAAAGGCCAAATCCTCATCTGACCCCCAGGGCTGCCTGATCTCACCGTGGCTCACCTCTCCAGCCTCATGCCCTGGTTCCCCCAGCCCCATCCTCCCCAACTCACCCTAACATTGAAATTAAACCATGCCCACTCCATCCTCACCTTGGGTCTCCCTTTGTGCTCTGATATTTGGGTTCTCTTCATGCCACAGCTCCACCCAATGTGTGCTCTGCTTCCTTAGCTGTAAAAGGAGCTCCCCATAGTACCCACTGGGCACATAATAGGGTCACTTGCTTGGGTACAACGTGGCGGGTGGGTGAGAAGGGGATGGAAGTGGTCCACAAATAATGATTTGGGAGAACACAAATAATCAGACATAAAGAGCCACAGAGGCACTTACTGACTCTAAGGACTGTGGTTATAAAGCCCCTGCAATGTGCCAGGTTGGTACTATGGGGAGCTCCTTTTATAGATAAGGAAACAGTGCATGCTGGGCGGAGCTGTGGTGTGAGGTCCTGCTGCACTGCCTTGCTGATGAGAAAAAACACTTATGGGCAGAGCGCTTTACACTGAGCAACTCTGTGCCTGCCTTTGTCTCAGGCAGTCCTCTAGCCATTGTGCCCCCCCCTTTTTTTTTCTGAGATGGAGTTTTGCTCTTATTGCCCAGGCTGGAGTGCAATCGTGCAATCTTGGCTCACCGCACTCTCCACCTCCCAGGTTCAAGTGATTCTCCTGCCTCAGCCTCCCAAGTAGCTGGGATTACAGGCATGCACCATGACACCTGGCTAATTTTGGGTTTTTATTAGAGACGGAGTTTCTCCATGTTGGTCAGGCTGGTCTCGAACTCCTGACCTCAGGTGATCCACCCACTTCGGCTTCCCAAAGTGCTGGGATTACAGGTATGAGCCACCACACCTGGCCCACTGTGCCCCTTTTGCACATGAGGAAATGGGAGAGGGACTGTGATTCTGTAAGGTCATATAGCCAGGTAGTAGCCATGCCTTGACTGGAACCCAGCTCTGCCTGCCCCTTCCCTGCTGGCAGTTGCATCACCTGCCTTCTCTGGGGAGTGAATGAGGACAAGCCACACTTGACCTTCCATGGTCCTGTAGCAGAGATTTTAAAGTCCAGCTTTTAGAGAGGAACGTGAAAGCCCAGAGAGGAAGGAACTTGCCCTTGGTCCTATACTCCATCAAGCACAATGCTGGGAAGGGACTCAGGTCTCCTGACTCCCAGTCCAGAGCTCTTGCACACTTTGCTCCTTCATGCAACAAATATTTATTGAGCATCTACTGTGTACCAGCACAGTGCTAGCCCTTGAGAACACAGCAGCAAACACAACAGACACAAAACCCTGGCCCTGTGGAGTGGACATTCCAGGGCTGGGTGGAGGAGTGGGAGACCAATACGGACCAAGTAAGTCAGCTGCAGCACTGTCTTTCCTCTTATTTATTTCCGGAAACAAATAATTATGGAGAACTTTATTGCTATAAGACAGACATGGTCCTGACTCTCCTACAGTGAGAATATAGTGTTGGAGACAGGCACTCAATGAGAGACACATAAATAAGCAAAGTTCAGATTGTGATCATAGCTGAGAAGAAAACAAGGTTGAAGTGCTAGAGAGTAATGGGGATGCGGTACTGGTAGTTAACTTCAGATGGGGTGGCCAGGAAAAGCCTCTCCAGGAAGTGACTCTTGAGCTGAGACCCAAAGCATGCAATGGGGCCCAACAGTGTTCCAGGTGGAGGGAACAGCAAGTGCCAGGGTGCAGAAGTAGGACAGAGCTTGGTGGGAGAAAGGAACAGAGAGAAGGCCAAGGTGGCTGGAGCAGGGCGAGAGGGGGAGGTTGGCAAGAGGGAGGGGGCTGGAGAAAGTCCAGAGTGTCGTGGATAGACACTGAATAAAGAGAAGGGATGACTAGCCCCCTACAGTTCACCCCTGGGTGGGGGTTGGGTAGTCGTCTTTGCATCTGATAATTTCCCAGCTAGACCCCCAAGGGGTGGGGGCCAAACACCTGCTGGCCTGGCACTGCCTGTCTCTGCAGAGATAAAGTTCCCTGCCCCCCGTTCACCAGGACCCCGCTCTGTGGTGCCTCCACCTGCACAGTCAGGCAGGGCATTGTGTGTTCCGGCCGGCACACCTGGCATTCACCAGCCTGCTGGTTGCCTGATTTAGGGGCTCATCCTGCCTGGCTCAGGGGTCTGTTCCCTGGAGTCTACCAGCTGGGACTAGGCTGGCTGAGGAGGAAGACACAGGCGCTGGTGGTGGCCACAAAGAAGGCACCCTTTACCGTTGCACGCCCATTGGACCATGTTTGAAACCCCAGGCCTCCCTTTTCCAGCCATCCTTCCCTGGGTGGCAGAGTCTGGGCTTGGGCAGAAAGGTTCAAGGGGCAGTTTCACTGCTGTGCTTAGAAATTTTCTCTCCCTCTCTGGGCCTGTTTCCTCATCTGTGCAACGGAAGGGTTGACCTGGATAAACTCATGGTGTAGACTCTAGAGCCAGACTGCCTGGGTTTGAACCTTTACCACGTAGTGACCATATGAATTTAGCTAAGTTACTCAACCTTTCGTTCTCAGTTTACCTACATGTAAAATGGAGGTACAATAATAACACCTATTTCAAGGGCTGCGGGAGGATTAAGTGAATTATATATGTCTGGTGCTTCAAACAGTGCCTGCTCTATGGTAAGTGCTATATATTTTAACTCTGATCATTATTATTAACGTCTTTGGAAAACATTGCACTGGAAAGACTCAGTGGAGAAATCTGAGTTCATTTGTTTGCAAACTTTTTGGTCTTTGTTTTTAACAGAGAAGCTCTGCATTGGTCAGGAGAAATTTTACTCAGAGCCCCAGCTGTTAGCAGGGGATTGAAGGGGGGCGCCTGCCCCACCTGCTTCCCCGTCTCTGTGTCTGCAGCCCCCAAGAGGCCTACTGGAGCATAACTTGAAAATCCCTGCTCAGTTTATCTCCTTCAGCTCACAGTCAGGGAAACTGAGACTCAGAGAGGAGCAGGGATCTGCCCAGTGAGTGGCCCAGCCTAGACTAGAACCCAGATCTCCTATTTTTCTCAATACAAGACAAGGGGCAGGGGCTAAGAGAGAAGCTAAGACCAGAAGCCTCTTAGGGGACTGGGTGCATTGTGTCGTCAAGTCATTAGCATGCAAATGATATGCAAATGAATGCAAAACAGCATGTTTTATGCTAATTTGCAGAGTCGAGAGCGACGACATTTTTGGTAATAGGGCGGCAGTCCTGGTCCCTGGGCATTGCCGAACACGCGTCCTTTTTTTCTTTTCTTCTTTCATTATTATGATCGGGCCCATAAATCTTGGTTTGGCTGTGACTCCGCCCCTTCTTGCTTGAAAGCCTGGCTCCTATCATTCTCAAGGGCTCCCTTGCCAGTCCTCTGGTCCGGCCTGGGCCCAGGGACAGGCCTGAGCAGTGGGTCAGAGAACCAGGACTCAGGAGCCACCAGTCAGAGCTAGAGGGTGACCCCAGCTCTGGCCTGGAAGCCACTTCTGAAGGAGGGGACCGTGGCACTTCCTCTGAGCTCCCACAGCCACTGTGGCTTCTGTGCCATTGTCTGTTTGGGGCTGGCTTGCTCCTTTTCTTGTCAGGGCGCCCAGTACCTGGAACACAGGTTCAGGATGTGTTTGGTGTTTGAAGACTGAATCCATATATGGAGAGCTGGTGGTGTACCCTAGTGATGAGCCTGCAGTCTCTGAAAACATGCAGCTTGAGTTAAAACCCTGGCACCACTACTTTCTGAGAAAATAGTAGTATGTACTCACAGCTAACCTTTTGTTTTTGTTTTGTTTTGAGACAGGGTCTCATTCTGTGGCTCAGGCATGAGTGTAGTGGCATGATTGCAGCTCACTGCAGCCTCAGCCTTCTGGGCTCAATCCATCCTCCCACCTCAGCCTCCTGAGTAGCTGGCACTACAGGTGCACACTGCTACCATGCCCAGCTAATTTTTTTTTTTTTTTTTTTTTGTAGAGATGGGGTCTTGCCATGTTGTCCAGGCAGGTCTCGAACTCCTGGGCTCAAGCCATCCTTCTGCCTCGGCCTACCAAAGTGCAGGGATTACAGGTAAGAGCCATCACACCAGGCCCATAGCTAATTGAGCACCTACCATGTTCCAGGGCTCTGCTTTGTAATTGTTGTGAACGCTGTCACTGATAAGAGTATCCTAGAAGGTGAGTATCGTTATCATTGCTCTCATTTTACAGAGAGGGTTAAATGATTTGCCTGAGGTCACACTCCCCAGGGTAATGGTAAAGGGGTATTTATATTTACTAAGGATGAGTGCTTCATCAGGCAGGGGCCTTTAAGGCACTCAGCAAAGCTTCTGTCACAGGGTACCAGGGTCTCCACCTGTGCTATCAAGCCACTCTTTTGACAATGTTAAACTTTACCTGAGCCCTGTGCTCCTGAAAAACAGCGATGGTCCAGAAATCCCCCCAACTTTTTGTTTTCTGAAGTCTCCCTACCTTTTCTGTTCAGGGAAATGGCTTAGCAAAACGAGCCACCCTTCCCCATATGACTCAGATAAGACGTAGTCCCCTCTTTCTAGTGTATCCTGTAAGACTGGAGGATGACTCCCTTGCTGGCCTGTGATCTTTCCCCTTTTGCTGGAACCTGCTGACAAGGCCAAGGCCAAGGACCCTCCCACTTCCCATTCTTTGTCTCATGGTTGATTAGCTGAGATGAGAACTGTGTGTCCTCTCTGAAACTAGCTAGACACAGAGATGAACATTTCCTCTTCAATGGACTGATGGAGATATCCCCTATTTGTAAGACAATCCCCACTTTAAATCCCTCCTGCTGTAACCTGTCTCCTCACCCCTACAAAAGTCAAAGGCAAATCCATCCTGTCCAGACACTCTGATTTTGGGATCTGGGATGCTCTCCCTGTTGCAATAGCATGAATAATACCATCAACCCCAATTCTTCCGTGTATTTTGTCTTTGACCCTTTCCACCGTGCTGTTTTCCACCTAAGGCTCTGAGCTAGGTAAGAGCCCTGTGACCTTGGAGTACTTCTCGGGCTTCTCTGTACCTTAGGTTTAAAACGGATGCGCACAGGCGTTATGTCCTCAGGTTGTGAGATAAAAGGAGACGACGCCAGGGAAACGCTCGGTCGCTTGGCACTGTGCCCAGCAGCGTGAGTGCTCCAGAAATGTCAACCATTGTGAGTCCAGGAGAGGAGAGTGGCGCTCAGAGAGGGAACGGGACCTGCCGGGAGACTCACAGCGGGAGGAAGGGGGAGTAGGGCGCACGTCTGGTGACCTCCGCCCCCAGCTGTGGGAGTGTGCCCTGTGACCCCCTCATCCTGCCTTTGGATCACGAGCTGGGGTCGGGGGAGGGGATGGTGGGGGGGACACTGCTCGGTCCTCCACTCCGTGTGCCCTGTGACCCCCTCATCCTGCCTTTGGATCACGAGCTGGGGTCGGGGGAGGGGATGGTGGGGGGGACACTGCTCGGTCCTCCGCTCCCCTCCGCCCGCCTTTGATTGTGGTGAGCAGCGAGTCGCGGAGCAAATTAACTTTTCGCACACTTCATTATGCGCCGTCCCGCGTCCCCCGGGGCCGAGGCCCGCGCCCCCGCCCCGCGCCGACAACTTGATTGGGCAATTAATCTTCGCGCCCCCCACACCCCCTCCCGGCCCCGGGCCTTTGTGCGCCCGAGCGTGGGCCGTGGGCGCCCCCCGGGCCGCCCGGTCTGCTGGCGCAGATAAGGCGCCCCTCGCCGCGCGGCCCCGCCTTTGTCAGGGCGCCCGCAGGCCCGGCCGCCGCGCTGCCGTCTCGCACCCCATCCGCGCGCCCCCGCCCCTTGGCTCGGTCCATCTGTTTGAGCTTCACAATCCTCCAGCGGCCGGGGGCTGGGGGCGGGGTCTCGCTCTTGGGCAGGCAGCCAGCACCCCCTCCCCCCGGCCCCCCCACCCAGCCCCCAGACACGCGCGCGCACGCCCACTCGCACGCGGGGCCGCCCTGTCAAGCAGTGCGGTATTAATTAAGAAGGTGGGGGGGAAGCACAGCAGCAGTTTGAAGAATTGTGGGGCGGAGGGTTCCCAGCGGTGTCCAGAAAAGAGGGGGACCCTGCCACCCATCTCGTACCGCAGGTGCTTAACGCCTGGTTATTGGCTTGGGGATCTACAGGCTCCCATGGCTGGGGGTGGGGGTTAGGGGAGGTGGGAGGTGGGAGGGAGAGGCCTGGGAATTTGCCTGACAGTGTCTCTTTGTGCATTTTTCTGGGGTTTTGCCAGCAGTTGACCCAGCCTCAGAAAGGTAGCCTGTGATTCAGGTAGTGTTGAAAACCAGAGGCCCAAAGGCAGGATAAATCTGGGCCTATTTTAGAGGCCAATAGCGTGGTGGTTCAGAAAGGGGTTCCAACAGTTCTCCCTACTCGCCGTTGAGGATTTGCGTCAGGTAACCACCCTGCGCCCGGGGCGGTGGAGGTGATGGGCTGAGACCGTGTTGGCGCAGTGCTGGGTACACGGTGAGTGCTCACAAGTGCTGGTTCTTGCTGTTTTCTGTGATTTTCCTTGGAGGGGCACAGGGAAAACCAAAAATGGCTGGTGCTGGAAAGAGGCCCTTGAGTTTCATCTCACAGCTGGCGGTAGGGTGAAGCTTGGCAAAAAACCTGTGGTCTGTGCTGAGCTTGGGGCTGGGTGTGTGTGTGTGTGTGTGTGTGTCTATGGTCTTTGAGAAGTGTCTTCATCAGCATATGACTTGTGTGAGTTTTTGGGTAGAGAAGGCACAGCCTTCACTAGTTTCTACAAGAAGGGTGTGATCCAGTGTGCGAAGAATCCCTGTGTGCAGGGCTGGGAAATCAGCTTCATCTCTTCCATCCAAGAACAGCATGGCTGGCACGCTTATTGTGTGCGGAGTCCACGGTAGCGTCCCTAGGTGCTAGGGACAACCGTGAGCAGAGCAGAGTTCTTGGCTGCCTTCACAGACTCGCAGTCTCCTTCGGAAGATGAATGAGAAATAAAATAAACATGTAAGACATGAGGTAGGTCACTAGGTGACATGAGCTTTAGATAAAAACAAAGCAGGGCACCTGATTAGGAGGGTGGGCCCTACTTGCCAGACCCCTACCCTCATCCCCAATACAGTGTGTATCATTGCCTGGGCAGGAAAGGGCCACACTCCTGGGTCTAGGGAACTAGGTCCCTAAGTAGCCTCATGTCCCCACCCACTAGGACCCAGCCTCCAGCCAGTTCTGTTGCATGGGGCAGGGTCCCTGGGAAGATGGGCAGGCCTCAGACTGCTGCAACCTCTGCCCCTAGCCCTGAGGTGGTGGCAGTAGTGTTTCCCTCTGATAATGACATACTCCAGTCTTGCATGACCACGATGCCTCATGAGCCCACAGTCCAGAAGGGGCCTGGTGAGCAGGAGCTGAATTAAAATGGAAAATACGGCCTCCCTTCCCCCCTTCCTGTTCCTCCCCACTTACTCCCTTCATTCCTGCTGCTCCTGAAGCCATGGGTGAATAGTTTCTCAGTCTCTTTGCCTTGCTGAGCTGGGTTAGTTGGGTTAGCAGGATGGACATCTCCTTATGGATACTAGAGTTAGGAGACACCCAGAACCAGCAGGTGGGATTTTAGAAAGTGCTGTTTGGCTCTGACCAACCCCTACTCCCACCCCATGCATAGCAGGGTTAGTTTCCTCATCAACTCTGGTCTCTGATTCTGATGTTCTGCCCCTAAGCATCCTACATTCTAACATTGTATTCTTCTGACTTTTTAGAATTTTCCCATCCTATGCATCTTACACGAATATGGTGAAGTTCTGATTTCCGCCCTTATGTTCTAGATTGAGTCTTCAGTATTAATTTTGTTGGGGTCTACCCATTCAAATAACAATAGAGAAAGACTATGTGCAGAGTCACATAATACTAGTCATGATAGTAGCAATTAACATCCTTTTGACCTTGGTTTTATTTAACAGTTTTTTTTTTTGAGAATTTTCTAAGCGCCAGACACCATTCTAGACATTATACAAATAAATAGATAAAAATGAATAAATAAATAAATGTTATTTTAGAAGGTGCAATTGAAATTGAGAGTCAAGGCAGGACTCACTAAGAAAGTGACAATATTTTCTTTCTGCTTTCAGTTATGGAGATTTGAAATCTCAGTTGATAAGGTGGATTTATTTCTCCTTGCAGGTCATTCACTTTTTCCTTCATGTATTTTGAATCTCTGCTATTGGGGGCATAAATATTTAGAATTGTTATATGCTCATGATTAACTGACCTTTTTTTTTTTTTTTTAGATGGAGAGTCTTGCTCTGTCGCCCAGGCTGGAGTGCAGTGGCGCAATCTCGACTCACTGCAACCTCCGCCTCCTGGGCTCAAGAGATTCTCTGGCCTCAGCCTCCTGAGTAGCTGGGATTACGGGTGTGCACCACCACGCCCAGTTAATATTTGTATTTTTAGTAGAGATGGGGTTTCACCATGTTGGTCAGGCTGGTCTCAAACTCCTGACCTTGTGATCCACCTGCCTTGGCTTCCCAAAGTGCTGGGATTACAGGCGTGAGCCACCGCACCCAGCCTTGACCTTTTTAATCATTATAAAATGACCTTATCTTTCCTGGTAATATTCTTTGCTCTGAAACAAACATTGTCTGATATGAAACTAGCTACTCCTCCAGTGTTATTTTGATTACTGTTACTTTCCATCTTTGTACTTTTAACTTGTGTGTTTACACTTAAGGTGTGCCGTTTTGAAGGTTGGGTCTTATTTTTTTTTTTTAAAAAAAACAATATTTGGGTCTTATTTTTTTAAAAAAATCCAATCTAACAATCTCTGCTTTTTAATTGAGGGTATTTAGACCATTTACATTTGATGTGATCATTGACGTGGTTAGATTTAAGTCTATCATCTTGCTATTTGTTTTATTTTTGTCCCATCTGTTCTTTGCTTCCTTTTTCTTCTTTTTCTGTCTTCTTTTGTATAAGCTCAGTTTTTTTTACTATTTCATTTTAACTCCTCCTTTTTTATTATATCGTTTTACCTTCTCTGTTGGTTTATTAACTGTAATGTTTTGTTTGTTATCTTAGTAGTTACATTAGGCCTTATAAGCCTGGGTACGGTGGCTCACACCTGTAATCCCAGCACTTTGGGAGGCTGAGGTGGGCGGATCACCTGAGGTCAGGAGTTTGAGACCAGCTTGCCAATATAGTGAACCCCTGTCTCTACTAAAAATACAAAAATTAGCCAGGCATGGTGGTGCATGCTTACAGTCCCAGCTACTCGGGAGGCTGAGGCAGGAGAATTGCTTGAACCTGGGAGGCAGAGGTTGCAGTGAGCTGAGATAGCACTACTACACTCCAGCCTGGGTGACAGAGCAAGACTCAAAAAGAAAATCATGTAATAGTATACTTTCATTTCCTTCCTGGCCTTCTTGCTGTTGTTGTCATACATACATATGTGTGACAGACTCCACAAAATGTTATTATTTTTGTTTAAATGCTAAGTTATCTTTTTTTAAATTAAATAATCAGAAAAGATTTTATATATTTAACTCATGTAGTTAACACTTCTGGTGACCTCCATTCCCTTATGTAGATCCAGATTTCCATCTGGTATCATTTTCCTTCTGCCTGAAGGATTTCCTTTATCACTTCTTGCAGTGCAGATCTGTTGGTGACAAATGCATTCAGCTTTTGTATGTCTGAAATCATCTTTATTTCATCTTCATTTTTAAAAGATATTTTAACTGGGTATAGAATTCTAGATCGGCAGGTTTTTTCTTTCATTAGCTTAAAAGATGTTGTTGCTTCACTATTTTCTTCCTTAAATTGTGTCCAACAAGAAATCTGCCATTATCCTTATCTTTGTTTCTCTATACTTTACAAGGCTTTTCTTTCTCTGACTGTTTTTAATATTTATCTGTTTGTCACTGGTTTTGAGCAATTCGTTCATGGTGGGTAATTTCCTTCCTGTTTCTTGTGCTTGAGGTTCGTTAAGCTTCTTGGATCTGTGAGTTTATAGTTTATATCAGATATGAAATATTCTCAGCCATTAATTTTCTATTTCCTCTCCTTTGGGGACTTCAAAGACACATATATTAGGCTTCTTGAAGTTGTTCCATAGCTCCTAATACTCTTGGTTTTTTGGATTCTTTCTTTTTCTCTGAGTCGTCGATTTTGGGTAGTTTCTATTGCTACATCTTAAAATTCTCTAATCTTTTCTTCTGTCACATCAGCATATTTTTCATTTCAGACATGTAGTTATCATTTCTAGAAGTTCAGTTTGGGTCATTTTATATCTTCCAAGTCTCTCCTTAACCTTTGAACATGCAGACCATGAAATACAATTTGAATACTTATTTTAATGCTCTTATCTCCTACTTCTGTATCAGTTCTGGGTCAGTTTCAATTGATTGATTATTATTCTTGTATGGGCCATGTTTTCTTGCTTATTTACGTGCATGGTAAACTTTGGATGCCAGGCATTGTGAACATTACCCTTGTTGGGTGCTGTACACTTTTATATTTCTATAAATCTCCTTCAGTTTTGCTCTAAGATGCAATTAAGTTACTTGGAAACAGTTTTATCCTTCCTAGTCTTGCTTTTATAATTTGTTGAGTGGGTCCAGAGCAGTGCTATCTGTTGAGGGCTAATTATATACCACTGTTGAGAAAAGACCTTCCTGAGCACTCTACCCAGTACCCCAGAAATTATGAGGGTTTTTTCTGTTTATTAATATTTCTGGTTTTGTGTGAGTGCTGAGCACTGTTCTCTAATCTTATCAGATGATTTTCACCCCTACTTCAGTGTAGTTTTATCATACAAAAGCACCAACCAGTACTCAGTCTAATACTCAAGGGGGACTTTCTTCATATCTCTGGAATAGTCTCTCTGTGCAACTCTTTCCTCCCAATACTGTGTCCTGCAAACTCTGCCCTCTTTGTCCTTCCTGGACTCTCAACTCTATTTCCTTAACTCAGGAAGCCTCCTGGGTGCTGCCTGGGTTCCTCCTCCCTGCACTAGGTTCTGAAAACTCTCTCCAAGCGGCAAACTGAGGCCATGATAGGGTTCATCTTATTTCCCACTTCTCAGGGATCATGATCCTTTATTGCCTGTTGCCTAGAGTCTTAAAAATTACAGTTTCATGTATTTTGCCTGGTTTGGTTTGTTTGTTTGATTGTTTCAAGCAGGAGAGTAAATTCAGTTTCTGATACTCCATCTTGGGTGGAAGCAGATATGAGAAGGTGACATTTGAACACAAACTTGAAGGAGTTGATGGAGTGAACCAAGAGGATATGGGAGTGGGGAGAGGAAGGAGATTCTAGGCAGTGTGAACAGCAAGTACAATGGTCTCCTGCGTGTATAGCTGAGAGTGCGGGTAGTGTGTTTGAGGAAGGAAGGGAGCACGTATGGCTGGAGCAGAGAGTTATGTGGGGAAAGTGGGGAGAGGGAGGGATGAGGTGTCAGCTTGTGTAGGACCTTGCAGGCCATGGAGAGGATTTTGGCTTTTACACCAAATGAAATGGGAGCCATGGGAGGATTTTGAGCAGAGGGAGGACATCTTTTACAGGATCTCTGAATCGATTGGATTAACTGAAAGGGATAAGAGGGCAAGAGAGAAAGCCAGAGACTTGCTGGGAACCAGTGCACTAAGCCAGGTGAATGCTAGTGACTCAGACACATGAAAGGACACACTACCAAGGGGGTGAATAACTAGGAGCGGGGATGAAGGAGGCTTCTGGGGTGCTGTCGGTGTCTTGTATCTTGATCTGAGGGAGGTTACATCATCTGCTCACTGTGTGAAGATTCATTGAGCTGGATGTACACGTCTAAATTGTGTTCACAATTGAATTGAATACATGAATATATTACTATATAAATATACTATATACATATAAAACTTAGAAAACAAAGTAGGGAGATGAAGGTGGCTTGGACTAGACTGTTATCAGTGGAGGTGGGAAGAACTGTATGCATTCTAGATCTCTTTTATATGTAGATCCAATAAGATTTGCAAACAGATCTAATGTTAGATGTGAAGACAGAGAATAGTCCAGGATAATGTCAAGTTCTCTGGCTGAGCTACAGCAAAGACTGAGGACCTGCTGTGTACCAGAGCTTGGGCTAAGCTCTATTAACTTCTTTAATCTTCATGACAATTCTAGGAAGTAAGTCTGGCAAGAGCTGCTTCTGAGGTTTTTGTGGGGCTACTGGGAGCCTTTCCACCAGAAGTGTAGTTTGTGTGATGGATTCCAGAGGTAGTGGTGGCCACCTTTGCCTCCATGAGGTTACAGGCTGCCTGAGAGTGAGGCCTACAAGAAAGAAATCAAAGCCATGATAGAGAGAGAGACAGGATCCTCACAGTAACATGTCAGCACCTGGATTCAGCCATAACAGAAGCCAGTGCCCTGGGCTTCTCAGTTATATAAATTAATAATTACTTTTTTTTTTATTTCTTTCACTTCTAACTGAAGAGTCCAGACTGATACAACTTCTTCATATGTGTCCCCTGTCTGCACCATCCAATGGACCATCAACAGCAGCTACATCCTCTCCTTACCGTTGCTTGCTTGCTTTTTTTGAGACAAGGTCTCTTTCTGTTGATCAGACTGGAGTGCAGTGGCATAATCACAGCTCACTGCAGCCTTGACCTCTTGGGCTCAAGCAGTCCTTCTGCCTCAGCCTCCTAAGTAGCTGGGTCTATAGGTGCTTGCCATCATGCCCAGCTATTTTTTTTTTTTTCATAGAGACAGGGTCTCACTATGCTGTCTAGGCTGGTCTTGAACTCCTGGACTCAAGAAATCTTCCTGCCTTGGCCTCCCAAAGTAGTGGGATTACAGGCGTGAGCCACCGTGTTTGGCCGTCCTTACCATTTCTAATGCCTGCTCTGCACTTTCTCTCTCTGGACCTTTGCTCCTACAGGTCCTCCTTTCCAGAATGCCTTTCCTCCCTTACCTTCTGCCCTCACATCAAAACCAGCCCCCTACTCAAAGCCATCCTAACTCCACCAGCTGAAGGATGGAGCTGGCAGAGTGCTTAGATATCAATCCATTTTACAGATGGGAATACCAAGGTCACTGTGAGACAGGGCAGATTTGTGGTCAGGACTCCCGCGTTCTGACTCTCTGAGACTCTTTCCATGATCCTCCAGGACAGCCTTTTCTGTGCCCTCCCTTGCGTGGGGTTGAACAGTACTTTTCACAACAATTTACACTCTCCCATACCCCAACCCTTGCACGTGCTGTTTCCTCAGTCTGGGATGCCCTATTCCATTCTGTCCTTCCGGAAAGGGTGCCACTTGAACTTGGAGATTCAACTCAAGGATCAGACTTCCAGAAGCCTTCTCTTTTTCCCAGGGTGGCTCTGTGTCCTGCCTGGTACTCCCACAGCTGCCTCTGGTACCTCCATGAACCCATTTATCCATTTGTTTTTTAGGTGTCTGTTTCTTGTTTGCCTCACCTGTTAGGTAGGGGAACTGAGGCAGACCTCCTGGCCAAAGAAGGCTCCCAACTGATGTTTGTGAATCAACATAGAGTGAGAAAGAGCCCCGTGGAGTGGGGCGGGGGGTGGAGAGCCAGCGCTGGGCGTGGAGGCAGGACGCCTGGGCTCCAGTCCAGCCACCACCACTCTAGTGTGTGGCCTCATGCAAGTCATGTCCTCTCCTTGAGCCTCAGGCTTTTTTGGCAGTAAAAAGGGCAGAACATCATAGTAGTTAATACCTCAGGCAGCCTGGATTTGAATCTTGGCTGTGTGACTTTAGGCAGTTTACTCCAGCTCTCTGTGCCTGTTTCCTCATTTGCAAAATGGGGGCAATAAACATATCTGCATCATAGGGTATTTGTGAGCATTAAATGAGTTAATGTTTACAAAGCTTTCAAACCATGCTTGCTTGGCACATCATATAAGCATCCCAGAGTGAGAACCATTAAACAAAAGAAACCCTTCCCTTCCTGAGAGGAGAGGAGAGCTTGACAAACTCTAAAGTGGCGTGTGAGTGAACTATGGTCACTCTCAGGGGGTAAGCTGCCTGGAAAAGGCTGACTCTGACACTGACTAGTGTGTGTCTTTGGAGAAATCATGTCACCTCTCTGGGACTCAGCTTCCCCATCTATCAAATGGAGGAGTTGGTCTAGCGCAGTTGGAGTTAAAGTGCTTTGTCTCTTTGAGTTTTATGTCCATGTCAGTAGAGTGGGCTGAGAGCTGCATGTCTGTCATGCGCTCCTGGTGAGAATGAAATACGATGATGGGCCGGACGCGGTGGCTCATGCCTGTAATCCCAGCACTTTGGGAGGCTGAGGCGGGTGGATCACTTGAGGTCAGGAGTTCGTGACCAGCCTGGCCAACATGGTGAAACCCTGTCTCTACTAAAAATACAAAAATTAGCCGGGTGTGGTGGCGGGCGCCTGTAATCCCAGCTACTTGGGAGGCTGAGGCAGGAGAATCGCTTGAACCCGGGAGGTGGAGGTTGCAGTGGAACCAGGATTGAGCCACTGCACTCCAGCCTGGGCAAAAAAGTGAGACTCTGTCTCAAAACAAATAAATAAAATAAAAAATATAATAATAAATAAATAAATACAATGATGTCTGGAGCACTTGCCAGTCATGCCTGCCACATAGCAAGTAATCTGTCATAACTGTCACTGTTATTCTGGCCCTGACATTCCAGGGTTCCTTGAGGTGGGGCAGGATGAGGGATGGGCTGGGCATCATGAAGGAAGGTGCTGATGTATCACCTACTGACAGTTTAGAAAAGGGAAGGCAGCCATGTGACCCACAGGCAGTGTCCCCCTGCCTGAGCCTTATTTGCAGGGCTGTGGCATCGGTGAGCAGGACAGGGACCACCACGCCCACTAGAGAAAGAAGCACGTGCTGCTTTTGTGAGTTCACAAAGGTCTTGGTTTTCCAGGGCCAACAGTGTCCCCGCCACACGTGACCACCTCAGAACCATCACCTGCCACCTGCCAGGGCCTGGGAGTTGGAATCTGAGGTGGAAGGAGAGAGCAGGGGCCAACTCCTGGCTGCTCCCCTCTCTTGGTATGTGACCCTGGGCAAGCCTCTGCACCTCTGTCCCCTTTGTCCTCTCTTGTCACATAATGAGGTTTTGAGTGTCTTAGATAGGGAGGATGTCTCCCTATCTAAGGATAGGATAGGATAGAAATGGCCAGGCCCTGGTGCCTCTGCTAGCTCAGTCTGGCTGGGACGACCTGGGAAGAACATGGCCTCAGTTCCAAAGCCAAGGCGGCTCCTGGGGGAGCTGCAGCTGGAGGCTGTCAGCTTGCTGCCCTCCTTGCTGCTGAAGGACAAGCTTTTTCTTGAAGATAGGATGGATAGGATGTCTCCTATCCATCAGGAGATGCGATTATTGGCCTAGACTGGGCAGGGTCTCCACCTGGGCGACGGGTTGGGAGGCGGAAGTGAAGCTGGTGGCATGAACCATTCTCAGTGACCTTTCACCAGGGTGAGTGGGAAGTAGTTGGGAGCATCGAGGCCTCACTCTCCATCCTGAAGATGGAGCACAGACTGGCTGGCTGAGGCCGGGAGCTCATCACGGGATGGAGACAGATTGGCAGACAAAGAGGAGGCGGGCGGTTGGGGCTGGGTGCCCCTGGGGAGGAAGGCGGGGAGAGAGCGTAGGAGCAGGAGGAAAGAAGGCTGGGCTTATGTGCAGCCTCACAGACTGGGCCTGCAGAGTCTCCAGCTGGAGGTTGGGACTGGACCTTCCTCCTGAATGGGCAGGGAGGGAGGCTTGTTGGCCTAGCCCTCGGGGTTCTTGAAATAAATGAGGGAGGGCCTTGGGGGGTGGTAAATTGCTGAGGCTGTGATAAACATTCTCCCCTTCCCACAAAACACACACAGGCACGTGTGCGTGCATACACATACACACACACACCCTGGCCACACTGCTGTGCATATCTTACTGATTGTTGTCCTCTGTGACAGCAGTTCTCCAAGTTGAGTGCATTGGAAGGATCAGTTAAAATGCAGATTTCCAGGCATTTCCATCTCTAAATGTAGGGTGTGGCCTGAGAATGTGTATGTCTTACAGGATCCTGGTTGATGCTGATGCTGGGGGTTCTGGGACACACTTTGAGAACCACTGCTCCATTGAGCAGCCTTTCAGTTTGGGTGCCCCTCGGTGCTGGTGCTGGGAGAGAGTTAGGAGGGCAAGGGGGTTAGTGAGGGCTGCTACCTGTGAAACACAAAGCAGGAGGGAATGGAATTGGCCAGGAGAGCCTCAGACCACAGCCCGGGCCTGCAGAGTCACCCTCTAGGGGTCTCTGGAGTAAAGATTATCCACAGAGAAGCCCCACATGGGGCAGAAATGGCCAGGCCCTGGTGCCTCTGCTAGCTCAGTCTGGCTGGGACGACCTGGGAAGAACATGGCCTCAGTTCCAAAGCCAAGGCGGCTCCTGGAGGAGCTGCAGCTGGAGGCTGTCACCTTGCTGCCCTCCTTGCTGCTGAAGGACAAGCTTTTTCTTGAAGAGAGACTGTGTCCCATCCACAACTGCCCCAGGCATCTACCACATGCCAGGCTCTGTGCAGAGTGTTTACCTGGATGAATGCAGTTTCAGATCAGAGCAACCTGGCCAAGCAAATATAATCGTCCCCATCTAATAGATGGGGAAAATGAGGGATTAAGTCATCTGCCCAGTGGTGGAGTCAAGATTTATCCCCTCTTGTGCCTTAGCACTCATCCCTGTCAGCTTCCCTGGGTGGTGAAGAACATTAGCTCCTTTTACACCTGAGGAATCTGAGGTGTGGAGAGGTCAGTGACTTGCGGTAGAGGTGGGTAGAGGATCCGGGATTCCAACCCTGCTCATGCCCCTCTTTTTAAATTTCAAGATGCTGTCCCTTGAGTACTTCTAGGGGGATGTAATGGCAGAAACTTGGGGCTGGAAGAAGCCTCCCTGGCATTTGACAGGTGGGTACACTGAGGCCCAGGGAGGCAATCAGCCGTGCCTCAGTGCCTCTCTCTGCCCTGAAGGGGCTCCCTGTTGTGTGTGGGGTATAACCCCCCCGTAATTCATGCATTCAGCACACACTGGTGGGCACCCATTGTGGGTCAGTCCCCCAAGCCAGAGTACTGTTGGTGAGTGGGAAGGCAGACGTGGGTGCAGAGGGTCTGTGCAGTGATTGGGGATGCACTGGGGATTGGAGGGGGCAGTTGACATGTGTGGGGTGCATGCAGGGAGGCTTCCTGGAGGAGATAGTCTGAGAGAGGAGGAGGTGAGAAGGGTACTCAAGGATGAGAAAAGAACAGAAACAAAGGCTTGGAGGTGGGGGAAGTGATATTGCCTTTAGGAAATTGATAGAAAATCTGTAGCTGAGATAGTGTGGGGAAGGTATGGCCAGAAATGAGGTGGAAAGTGGAAGCTTGGCCTGGGGAAGTGGTGGAAAGCTCTGGACTTGAACCATGACCCTGGTTCTGTTCAAGGCAGGGCTACTCTCTGCAGGGCTCTGAATTCTCCAGATTTCCCTCTTACCTTTCCGAACTTCCTGCGGTGGCCAACCCCTAAAATAGCCCCCAGTAATCTTTGAGTCCTAATAACCAGTAGGATTTTGTGGAAATGACAGAGTGTGACTTCCAAGGCTGGATCATAGAGTGTGTTGCAGCTTCTGCCTTGGTCTCTGGGTTTGATCCCCCCGGAGAAGCCAGCTGCCGGGCTGTGAAGTCACTCAAGCAGCCTGCAGAAAGGCCACATGGAGAGAAACTGAGGTCCTGCCTGCAGCCAGCATGGACTTGCTAGTCATATGACTGAGCCACCTTGGAAGTGGATCCTCCAGCCCCAGGCAAGCCTTCAGATGACAGCAGCCCAGAATCACCTAGCCAGGCCTGTTCTATATTCCTGACCCAGAGAAACTGAGACACACTAAATGATCATTGTGTTGTACGTCACTAAGTTTTGGGGTCATTTGCCGTGCAGCATCAGATAATGAGGGCTTCTCTGTGCCCTTTCTTGGCTTCTTCTGTTGCTTCAGCTGCCATCTGATGAAAGTCTGATGAAAACCAAAGGCCCTCCTCCAGAAAAGTTCAGGTACACCCAGAAAGAAATGGGGGTGCAATTTCAAAGGGATCACAGGCCATCTAAAACTAAACCTCAGACCTTCAGATCCCGGCCCCCAGTGGACATGGAACCTGAGTGAGGAATGAACAGTGTCTCAGTTGCTGAGCTGTGGGACATGGTGGCTGCTGCGGGGTCTTCAGCTTGGTCATGGCAGGGTGCCCATGGCCTACATTCCTTTCTCCTCCTCTTCTCTGTGTCCTTGGCAGGCTGCCCCTGCAGAGGAGGACCGTGGGTGCCCAGACTGAGTAGGTAAGTTTAGCTCTAAGAGAACAGGTTGAGAGAGCCCATCGGTTGTGTACAGGCAACTTCTCAGCCAAGCTCTGCCAGTTGCTGGTGTTCATACTTGGCTGATGTCTCCACTTCAATACAGAGCCTGCAGGGGATGCAGGCTGTGAATGCAGTCCCTGGAACCAGACTGTGGGCTCAGCCATGAGACCTGGGGGATGTACTTCACCTTCCTGACTTGGGCTTTTCAACTTGGAATTGGAGGCCAGAAGTCCACCCTGAAGCGTGGCTGTGGGGTGGAAACAGGCCCTCCAGCAGGGCAACAGCAGGGGCTCCTTGCCTGGCAGCCCCTCCGGTTCTTCAGCCCTTAGCCTCCCCTCTCTGGCTGTGGTCAGTGGCTGGCTCACCAGCCCCTCTTATGGCAGTCACTGCTCCAGAGTGCCAGGATTTCCCAGTATGGTGGCCAGGGCTGTCCGGAGCCCAGCACGCAGCTCAGGAAGCAGCTCAATGCAGGTGGGACGTCAGTGGGAGCAGAGGGCAGCCTCCCTCCCCAGACCCCTGAGGATGAGTCTGTCTCCCTCCTTGGTGCTAACTTCTCTCTCCTTCTTACATCTCCACTTCTTTCTTCTTCCTTTATCTTCTCTACCTCCTTCTCTCTTCTACCTTTTCCCTTCTTTTCCGCTTTTTCCTTTTTTCATCTTCATTCTTCTCTTTTCTTTCGTCTTTCTCTTCCCCTTTCCTCCTCTCTTTGTCTAGTCCTTCTTCCCCCTCACCTCTCCTTTTCCTCCTCTTCCGTTTCATAATGATTAAGAGTATGGCTTCTGATGTCAGCCTCCCTGGGTTCGAATCCCTGCTGTGCCACACACTGGCTGCGTGGCGTTGGGCAAGCCACTTAATTTCTCTGTGCTTTGGCTTCCTGAGCTGTACAGTGGGATGCTAACAGTGTCTCTCTTGAAGGGTGCCATGGGTGCCAGGTGAGCGTTAGCTGCTTATCATTCGTGTTCCTTCCTCCCCTCCTCTTCTTCTCCTCCTGGTCTTAGAAGTCTGTCTCCCTCCCTCTCTCCAAGCCCTGTGACTCGCCTCTTACGTCTCTCTGCCCAGCATCTTGGGCCTGTCTCTGGCCCCTGCCCTGCTGCTTCATCCTCTCACTGCACGCACAGGAAGGAGAGCCCAGGCCTGGGGCCAGGTTGCCCCATGAACAGTTGCTGAGCCAGGTGGCTGGAGCTCTTCCCTGGGGCCCCGCCCACGATGAGTTCAGGAGCTGCCTTTGTGCACCCGTGACAGCCTCTCCTGGCGCCTCATTTGGCAGAGCTGTGCATCTGGCCCAGTTACTGTGGTAGCCTTGGAAGGCAGAGTGCTCTGGGGCTTCCTTGTCATCTACCTGCGTGACCCTGCATGAAGGGTATGCCCAGCCCTCAGCTGGACTGCCAGCCCCACAGGCACCCTTGGTGCCCACCACACAGCAGGAGCTCATCCACAGATGGGCACAAATAGTGATACCAGACAGTGCCTCTGAGTCCTTGCTGTGCTAGGCACTGTTCTAAGTGCAAATTCCGTTCATCTTCACAGCAACCCTTGCAGTGGGGGCTGTTAACCCCATTTTAGAGATGAGCAAACTGAAACACAGAAAAGCATAGGAAATTGCCCAAAGTTGAATGAATGAATGAATGAATACAATGACAACTTAGGAAGGAAGGCATTTTACTGAAGAGTGACAGGCCCACGGTCACACAGATAGTAAGTGGAAAAAAATCAGGGCTGGAACTCATGACTCCAACATCACCTCCCACCTGTCCATAAGCCCAGTGACAGCAAGGCTGGCACTCCCTCACACTTGGGGTTGAGGCCAGTAAGAGCTGCATTTGTGGAACACTGGCCAAAGCAAACCCTCTGTGCTGAGGGCACTTCAGCCAGTGTCTCAAGCCTGTCTGCACTTCTTCTTTTTTTTTTTTTTGAGACAGACTCTCACTCTGTTGCCCAGGCTGGAGTGCAGTGGCGCAATCTCGGCTCACTGAAACCTCTGCCTCCCCGGTTCAAGCCATTCTCCTGCCTCAGCCTCCTGAGTAGCTGGGATTACAGGCACGTGCCACCATGCCCGGCTAATTTTTGTATTTTTAGTAGAGATGGCATTTTGCCATGTTGGCCAGGCTGGTCTCAAACTCCTGACCTCAGGTGATCTGCCTGCCTTGGCCTCCCAAAGTGCTGGGATTACAGGCGTGAGACACCATGCCCAGTCAACTGAAGTTCTTTGAGAGTACTGTTCCCATTTTCCAGATGAGGAGCCTGAGGCCCAGCGAAGGCGAGCAACATGGCCAAGGTCACACAGCCAGTAGGTGTGATTCCAAAGTCCCACTTTCTGTCTTCCATCAGGTAGTACTATCTGCCTTCCACTATGGAGGGAATGTCCCATTGGGAGACGCCTAGGATGGGGGCTAAAGAAAGACAGGCAGGCCCGACACCAGCCTCTCTCTCTTCTGTCTGCTGTCAACACTATATCTTGGTGCCATTCTGCCCACTATTTGTAGAGAGGCCTGGGTACCAGCCTCTTCACTTTGTCCTGGAGGCCAGGCCAGGCAAGGATCACTGTACCCACTTTTCTTTCCTTCCTTCCTTCCCTCCCTCCCTCTCTTTCTGCCTTTTTATTAAGGTATAAACCACACAAAATAAAGTACATAGAGCCAGGTGTGGTGGCTCACGCCTGTAATCCCAGCACTTTGGGAGGCCGAGGGACCCCCCAGCCAAAGCCTGGAGCTCAGAACACAAATGCTCCCCTTGTTGAGAGTGGGGAAAAAAATCTCTTTTCAGGTGCCAGCCTTAAAAAGAAAGAACAAAAAAGGTAACTCACAGATGACCGTGATATGTGACGTGCATCTGAGCCCTTCACACAACCACAGAACTAACTGTCTGCAGCTGCCACAACAGCTGACCCCTCTGCCAGGCAGAGTTTGCTATCAACCAGTAACAGCTCCCAGAGGTTTTGTTATCCCTCTGTAGAAATGGAGGCTTGAGGCCAGGTGCAGTGGCTCATGCCTGTAATCCCAGTACTTTGGGAGGCTGAGGCAGGCGGATAACCTGAGGTCGGGAGTTCGAGATCAGCCTGACCACTATGGAGAAACCCTGTTTCTACTAAAAACAAAAAATTAGCCAGGCGTGGTGGCGCATGCCTGTAATCCCAGCTACCAGGGAGGCTGAGGCAGGAGAATCACTTGAACCTGGGAGGCGGAGGTTGTGGTGAGCCGAGATCGTGCCATTGCACTCCAGCCTGGGCAACAAGAGCGAAAGTCCATCTCAAAAAAAAAAAAAAAAAAAAAAAAAGAAATGAAGTCTTGATTGACTGAAGTAGGAGGAGCCAGCGCACAGGCTTTGGAGGCAGAAGAGCTGGGACCAGCTCTGGAGGTTTGGGAACATGACTCCACCTCCCCGAGCCTCGTACTGCTGACCAGATTGCTTTTGCAAGCATTGTACTACATCTTCACACAATGCTGGGAGGCAGCTGTTACCAACCCCATCTTACAGCCGGAGACCCTGAGGCTCAGGGAGGTAAGGGATGTGTGCAGAGACATGCACAAAGTGGAAAAATGTGAAAACAGACCTCATCGTGCAGTGTTATTGTGCAATTTGAATTGAATGAGGGATAAGAATGTGAATGGATGCAGTCCACAGTAGGTGCTTAAGTCTTGCATGGGGTCTAATAGCCGGTGAGTGGCAAAAGGAGAACTTGTACCCAGATCTGCCTCACCCCAGAGCCCACCTCTGAGCCTCTTCATCCATGGGAAGCCATCATCAGCATGGTGCCTGGCACCGAGTGAGCCTTTGAGAAAGGGTAACTGGGTCAAAAATTATTTTCAGAAAGTTGAAAACATGGATCTTATACAAATGTATAGTGAGCACATGTCAAAGTGTTATTTAACTCATTAAGGATGGAACCGGTAGGATGGCAAAGCTGACTCAAAGGAGGATAAAATGGCAAAGTTAGCTACGACATAGGTTAATGTCTTACAGGGCACCAAAACCATAAGCTTTAGCGTTATTTCTTCTACAGGTCAGAAATCATTTGCAACTCGTGCACTTTTTACAAGTTACCAGGTAACTTTGCTTAGGATCAGGTGACCCAGGCTCATCGGACACTGCCTTCGCTTGATATTGAAAGGGCACACAGACACCCTTTTTGTCTTATTTCCAAGTTTTGGATATTTTTTCTTTACAGTTATTATCATTCCACTTCTCTCTGACGAAAGGCTGTTCACAGGCCTCACAGGTTCCCAGGAGCCCAGGGACACGCAGACCCCACCCCACCCATTCACACAAGGACTCAAGGACAGAGCCTCTACCCACAGATGAACTTGGGTGGTGCACAGGCACACGAGCTTGATGGCAGGGCACGCCCAGGCTGAAGGGGCCGGGTGGGAGCTAAAACGTGTGGTCTATGGTAGCCCAGCCTCTTTCCTCAGCAACCACGCCATGAAAAGATCCCTACATTATTTGTCAGGTAAAATAAAGCGACCCGTAGCTAGTGGCGCGAGATTCTATCCAGCTTAATACGTGTGTATGTGCAGACACATTTATGAGTGTGCATGCAGAGAAAACTCTCTGGGGAAATACCCCCTGAACTGACAGCCATGGGGAGTGAGGGTGAAGCGGAAACAATCTTGTAAAAGAAATTCAAAAACCGAAGCCCACTGCATTGTTTAAATTGGTTACGTCCAACTTGTTTTCCTGTGTTATCTGTCGCCTGTTAATACACACACACAAACACACACATAATAGAATGGGATAGAATATCTATATATATCTAATATATATAATATCTAATATATATAATATCTAATATATATAATATCTAATATATATAATATCTAATATATATAATATATATATAGAGAGAGAGAGAGAGCGAGAGAGAGAGAGAGAGGGAGAGACGGAGTTTCGCTCTTGTTGCCCAGACTGGAGTGCAATGGCGCGATCTCGGCTCACCGCAACCTCCGCCTCCCGGCTTCAAGCGATTCTCCTGCCTCAGCCTCCCGAGTAGCTGGGATTACAGGCGTGCGCCACCACGCCTGGCTAAATTTTTTTTTTTTTTTTTTAATTTTTAGTAGAGACGGGGTTTCTCCGTGTTGGCCAGGCTGGTCTCGATCTCCCGACCTCAGGTGATCCGCCCGCCTCGACCTCCCAAAGTGCTGGGATTACAGGCGGGAGCCACCGCGCCCGGCGGGATATTATATTTCCATAAGGCCCTCCGGGGGCCTGGGAACGGACTGGTGCTTGCGTGCGGGGCTTTTCCACTGGTTCCCTTCCGTACTCGGGCTTCCCCCGCTGTTGTTACTCCCTCAACGGGAACACAACTCCACCGCCGCCTCCGGGACACACCCCCGCCGCGTGGGCCGGGGTCCGGGACGCGCGCTCAGCTCGGCCCCGCGGGGGCGGCGCAGGAGGGAAGGGGGTGCGGACCCCGGAGGCGCCGCAGGAAGCCCTCGCCCACCCTTCCCGGCCGGGCCGGGTCCGCAGCTGACGGTGGGGGTGGGGAGCAGACGGGCGGGGCGCCGGCCGGCTTGGGGGTCCCCTGGTCCCGTCCAGGGGGCTCGGGCCGACTCCGGGCCAGCTGCGGAGGCGGGGGAGGGGACCCCGCTTTCCATGGCAGTGCCGAGGCGGCGCGCACAAAGGCGCCGCGATCAGCGCTTCATCGGTTCGAGTCAATTATCTGAGGCGCGGAGGCGGCGGGCGGGGCGAGGCGATTCCCCGGTGGGGCTGCGGAGCGCGGCGCCGAGACTCAGAGGAGGGGGCGCTGGGGAAGCGGCTTCTCCGTCTCCTGCTCCGCCCCGGGCTTCGTGGCGAGGCGCCGTCGCCCCCTGGTGGGGCCTCATCCATTCCTCGCTCACTCGCTCGTTCACCTTTTTCTCAACCTTACAGCGGGTGGCTCTACGGTACGAGCTGAGGGTGAAGTGCTGAGAACAGGGCAAGCGGGCCGTACCTTTAAATGCCCTGTCGGGAGCTGGGCCCCTCTGAGTGGCCAACCTCACCAGGAAAGGGCGCTCAGCCTCGCGCTGCAGATGGACTTGGAAGCAGACCGTCAGAATGCAGCCCTCCCTGCACGTGATAGAGTAAGGGCCGCACAGGGGATGAGGGCCCGGGGAGGCCCTTCGGGAGAGGAAGAGTCCCAGATGGCTCTCTGGAGGAAGTCTGGCCTAAGATGACCAGGTGAAGGGGTGGGGGTCCAGGGAGATGAGGGCGTTGCAGGTAGAGGTTTCAGCTATTGCAAAGGGGTTGCAGTACGGGCAAGTAAGGTGCACTCTGGGGAGAGTAACCTGTACTTACTGTGCGAGGGGAAGGGAGGTGATCAGTGAGGTAGGTAAGTGGGCCAGGGCCAGATGGCACAGGGCCACCTGCAAGCGTGGGCTGAGGGTGGGTTGTCAGGTCGTTTCATCATTTCCAGTTTATCCTTCTCCCCTTTAGATTTGGAGAGGATTTGGCTGCCCTCACCCTTGTAAGGGTTTAGGCATCATTCGCCCTTGACTCCTGTCCAGTTGTCTCACTGGTCTCCCTGTATCCCTTATTTTGCCCTTCAATCTGCCTGCACCCATCCTCCAAAATGACCTTTTTAAAAGCAAAGCTCGGTGGCACTACTTTTCAAAATCACAAATGCACAGGATCTGTAACCTGCTGGTTGCACATGACAGAAACCGCATAATAATCATGGGTTAGGCCGGGTGTGGTGGCTCAAGCCTGTAATCCCAGCACTTTGGGAGCCTGAGGCAAGCGGATCACTTGAGATCAGGAGTTCGAGACCAGGCTGGCCAATATGGTGAAACCCTGTCTCTACTAAAATACAAAACTTTGCTGGGCGTGGTGGTGTACACCAGCTACTCAGGAGGCTGAAGCACGAGGAGAATCGCTTGAACCCAGGAGGCAGAGGCTGCAGCGGGCTGAGATCACACCACTGCACTCCAGCCTAGGTGACAGAGCGAGGCTCCTTCTAAAAAAAAAAAGAAAATAAAAAAAAAGTCCTGGTGTTAGAGGCATTTTTCTTTTCCTCCTCCTCCTCCTCCTGCTCCTCCTCCTCCTCCTCTTCTTCTTCTTCTTTTCTGAGACAGAGTCTCCCTTTGTCACCCAGGCTGGAGTGCAATGGTGTGATCTTGGCTCACTGCAACCTCCACCTCTTGGGTTCAAGCGATTCTTCTGCCTCAGCCTCCAGCTAATTTTTGTATTTTTAGTAGACATGGGGTTTCACCATGTTAGCCAGGCTGGTCTTGAACTCCTGACCTCAGGTGATCCACCCGCCTTGGCCTCCCAAAGTGCTAGGATTACAGGTGTGAGCCACCACACTCAGCCAATAGAGGCATTTTTCTGTCATGTAAATAAAGTCTAAAGCAGGCAGTCTAAAACTGGCATGGTGCTCTACGGTTCAGGAACCTAAACTCCTTTTGTCTTATTATGCTACCCCCTCAGTACATGGTTTCCACTTCATGGCCCAACATGGCTGCTCAAACAGCAGCCCTCACATCTGCATCCCCAGATGGAGAGTCTTTTTTTTTTTTTGAGATGGAGTCTCCCTCTGTCACCCAGCCTGGAGTGCAGTGGCCTGATCTTCGCTCACTGGAATCTCTGCCTCCCAGGTTCAAGTGATTCCCCTGCTCAGCCTCCTGAGTAGCTGGGACCACAGGCACGTGCCACCACACCTGGCTAATTTTTTGTATTTTTAGTAGAGATGGGGTTTCACTGTGTTAGCCAGGATGGTCTCGATCTCCTGACCTTGTGATCCACCCACCTCGGCCTCCCAAAGTGCTGGGGTTACAGGTGTGAGCCACCGCGCCCAGCCCCCAGATGGAGAGTCTTTTAGTCATTAGAAAGGAGAAAGGAGCCAAGGAGGGAGGGAGGTTCCCTTAAAGACTCTTTCGGAAGTCACATACAATCTTCTTGTTGATGTTCCATTGGCTAAACTTGATCACATCACTACACTAAGCTACAAAGGAGGCTGAGAAATATGATCTGTGTTCTAGGCACCATGTGTCCAGATGAAAATTGAGGCTCTTATTTCAAAGAAAAAGTTCAGTCCATGGCCAGGCGTGGTGGCTCATACCTGTAATCCCAGCACTTTGGGAGGCCGAGGCTAGTGGATCACCTGAGGTCAGGAGTTCGAGACCAGCCTGGGTAACATGGAAAAACCCCGTCTCTACTAAAAATACAAAAATTAGCCGGGTGTGGTGGCATGTGCCTGTAGTCCCAGCTGCTCAGGAGGCTGAGGCAGGAAAATTGCTTGAATTTGGGAGGCACAGGTTGCAGTGAGCTGAGATCACGCCACTGCACTCCAGCCTGGGTGACAGAGCAGAACTCTGTCTCAAAAAAAAAAGTATCAGAAAAAGCGCAGTCTGGATATTGGGAAATGACCATCAGTCTATGCATGCTCAGGAGTTCCATGTCTAGCAGTGTGTCCTATAGGTTTGCTTAACCCATGTGACATTTGACACGTTTACAAGGTTATTCACTGCAGCATTGTGACAGCAAAAGACTGGAAACAACCTAAGTGTCCTGTAATAGGGGACTGGTTAAACAAATTATGGGACATTTATACAATGGAGAATGATGGCCACAAACACACATGAGGAAACTCTCAATGCAGTGATATGAAATGGTATTTAAGATGTTTCACTTTGGAAAACAGTTTGGCAGTTTCTTATAGAGTTAAACATACATCTCTCCTATGACCCAGCAAGTTCACCTCTAGGTTTTTGCTCAAAATAAAAATATATATGTATATATAGCTCCACAAGGACTTCTATGCAAATGTTCAACAGAGTTTAACATGTGATAGACAACAATTGGAAGTGACCCAAGATCGAACAGCCAATGAATGGATAAACTGGTGAGTCAAATATTACACTGGAGTTTAAATGAGTGATCCAATGTCTGCAACCACATGGATGAATCTCAAAACATGCTGAATGAAAACAAGCTGGATACAAAAAATAGCATGTTGTAATGATGCCGTTTATATGAAATTCTAGAAGAGGCAAAACAGACCAATCTATGATGACAGAAAGCAGAGCAGTGGCTGCCTCTGGGGTGGAGGGATGGACTGGGAAGGAGCATAAAAGAATTTCTTGGGATGCTGGAAATGTTCTGTATCATGATTGGGGTGTTGATTACACAGGTGCATTTCACTGCATGTAAATTATACCTTGATATTTTTAAAAAGCAGGGTGCAGAACAATGTTTAAATTATGGAATCCGGTATGTTTAAAAAGCAAGGAAATTTGCTTGTATCTGCATTGACTGTCTAGAAGAGACTTGTAATAGTGATTGTCGGTGGGAGAGGAACTGGGTAGCTGGGGGCTGGGGAAAAGGGACACTTTGGGCCATACCCTGTTATACCTGTTGAATCTTAAACCAGTTGAATGTACTACCTAATTAAAAACTAAAACTGAAAAGATCAGTTAGATGCACACGTGACATCACCACATTCATGTTTTAAATCTCCTAATGGCTCTTCCCGGCAATCTGGACGAAGTTCAGACTCTGAGCTGTCCTGGCCTTATGTGGCCCCACTCAGGCAGCATCCTCTCCAACCACTTTTCTGTTCCCTGCAGAGACAGCTCAGTGCCTGGCTCCCTCTGGTTGGCCTAAGTGCATATGTGCCATTCCCTGAGTGCTCAGCTCCTCGGTGAATTCTCCCCAGCCCCCTGCCTGAGTTGGTCCCTCGGGTCTCACTGGACCTGCTGCACTTTGCCTTCCCCCTTCCTCATCTATCAGATCAACACGTGTTTCCCAGAGCTCTCTGTGAGCTGGACCCCAGAGTCCTGGAGATGTGTGGGAGCCACTTTTATGGGGGAACCTGCTTCCTTGTTTCTGCTTCAGACAGCAGGCTTCTCCTGCCCTGAGACTCCCAGCAGCGTCTCCTCTTCCCAGGCCCAGATCTGGCCTGGGGTAGAAACTTTGATAAAATGTGCTGTCTTTAAGTTAAATATGGCTCCATAAAGAATGCATTCCATGACAAGAACCAACAGAGCCCTGGTTTCTTAGAAGATACAGAGAAAACACACTGTTGTGGGAGAATTGTGTCTGCCAAAAAGATACATCCCAGCTCTAACCCTGGGACCTGTGATTGTGACCTTATTTGGAAACAGGGTTTAGGCAGATGTAGTCAGGTCAGGGTGAGGTAATACTGGATTAGAGTGGGCTACTCCAATGACTGGTGCCCTTAAAGAGGGAAACAGACAGAGGAGAACACCACGTGACCACAGAGGCGAAGATGGGAGTGATGCATCCACAAGCCAAAGAAGGCCAAGGAGGCTTGCAGTCATAAAAGCTGGGGAGAAGCGAGGAAGTGTCCTCCCTTAGGGCTTTCAGAGAGAGCATGGCCTTGCCAGCACCTTGATTTCAGACTTTTAGCCTCCAGCACTGTGAGAATACATTTCAGTTGTCTTAACCTACCTGGTTTGTGGTTATTTGTTCTTTTTTTAAATTTTTTATTTATTTATTTATTTTTGAGACAGAGTCTCACTCTGTCACCCAGGCTGGAGTGCAATGGTGTGATCTTGGCTCAGTGTGACTTCCACCTTCTGAGTTCAAGTGATTCTCCTGCCTCAGGCTCTGGAGTAGCTGGGATTACAGGCACCTGCCACCACACCTGGCTAATTTTTGTATTTTCAATAGAGACGTGGTTCCACTGGGTTGGCCAGGCTGGTTTTGAACTCCTGGTCTCAACTGATCCGCCTGTCTTGGCCTCCCAAAGTGCTGAGATCACAGGCATGAGCTACCGCACCTGGCCTGTGGTTGTTAACTGTAGTCCCAGGAAATGAATACACACACAAAACCAGTTAATACCTAAGACAATTCCAGCTAGTGGCAAGTGCTTTGGAAAAACAAAACAAAACAAAACAAAACAAAACAGGTGAGAAGGGCGTGG
Source organism: Homo sapiens (assembly GCF_000001405.40). Classification (NCBI taxonomy): domain Eukaryota; kingdom Metazoa; phylum Chordata; class Mammalia; order Primates; family Hominidae; genus Homo; species Homo sapiens. The sequence continues at coordinate 733,621 of NC_000020.11, forward strand.
GATAGAGAGGGACTGGGAACGGTGCCACATTAGCCAGGGTGGTCAGGGAAGCCCTCTTGGAGGAGGAGGCATTTCAGTGGAGAGGAGAAGCCCAGCATGTGAGGACCAGGCAGAGGTGCTGGTGAGGGGGCACTTGGTGGGCGTGAAAGCTACTGGATGCAGCTCTGACGATGGAGGATACCTGACTGGGATTTTGGAGGAAGTCTCCAGGAATGAACCGGGAAGGGGCTATCCTCTCTTTGCCTCTGCAGGTCTCAGAACCTGCTGCATGGCTGCTGCAGGCTGTCCCTCGGCCTAGGCCGGCTGGCAGCCGATGAAGGAGGCCAGCCTCGCAGCTGACATGCTGCTCTCTAATTGTGATTAACTACCAAGTCCTCTCCTGCTCCGGCCTGAGGCCGCTGGTGTGACAGCTGCAGAGTGAATCAATGAGGCCAGGAAGGGGTTAATGGGCAGCCCCTCCATCTGAGCCCTTCAGACAATAAGGGGAGGTGGGGAGGCCTCTGGTGGGGGTGTGTGGCATCAGCTGGGGTGAGTGAATGGAGGGGACAGAGGCCTTGTCCCTGGGGACAGGGTGTGAGTGCTCTGTGGGGAGAGGGGTCAGACCCCCCTCCCATTATTTTCATCCACCTCCATCGTCCTCTCCCCTCCCCCACCCAGCCAGAGCATCCCAGACAACTGCCCTCTTGGCTCCAAAGTGTGCAGCATCTTCAGCCTTACGGAATTCTGAAGCAGAAATTCTAAAAGCCAAAGAACTGCAGAATCGTGACATGTCACCGCTGTGGGAGAGTCCGTCTAGTCCTGTCATTCTGAAACTTTCTTTTGCAGTGGAACCCACAACTCCCACCCCAGCTCATTTCCCCCCAAAATAATAGTGCATTGATAACATTGAGAACAGACCCTGGTACCAGCCGGCCTCATTCATCCTTCATTCAGCCCCGGTTCTACCACGTACAACTAGGGTAACTTGGGGGTATAATGCATAGTTTATAGGTGTGTGTGTGTGTGTGTGTGTGTGTGTCTTCCCTAGAGACAGAGTCTTGCTATATTGCCCAGGCTGGTCTTGAACTCCTGGGCACATGCAGTTCTCCAGCCTTGGCCTTCTGAGTGGCTGGCTCACACCACCGTATTCAGTAGTTCCGTAGGTTTTGACAAGTTTGTAAGTTATGTAACCACCACCACAATTAATATATAGAACATTTCCATCGCTGAAAAATGTTGCCTCATGCCCCTTGTAGTCAATACCCTTCCCTGTGTTACCTGATATGGTAGCATGAATAAAGGTCATCTAGAGTTAGTGACTCTAGGCCGGGCAGGGTGGCTCATACCTATAATCCCAGCATTTTGGGACGCCAAGGTGGGTGGATCACTTGAGGCCAGGAGTTTGAGACCAGCCTAGCCAACATGACAAAAACCCATCTCTACTAAAAATACAAAAATGAGCCAGGTGTGGTGATGCACGCCTATAATCCCAGCTACTCCGGAGGCTGAGGCAGGAGAATTGCTTGAACCCAGGAGCTGGAAGTTGCAGTGATCCGAGATCACATGACTGCACTCCAGCCTGGGCAACAGCAAGGCTCCGTCTCAAAAAAATAAAAAAAATAAAAAAATTAGTGATTCTAATCCTTGAACTGTGTAAATGTTACCTTATTTGGATAAAGGATCTTTGCAGATGTAATTAAGAGGCAGAGGTTGGAGTGATGTGGCCCAAAGCAAAGAACACCAGGAGGCTCCCAGAACCAGAAGGGGCAAGGAATGGATTCTGCTCTAGAGCCTCCAGAGGTAGAGTGGCTCTGCCAACACCTTGATTTCAAATGCCTGGCTTCAGAACTGAAAGAGAATACACTTCTGTTGTTTTAAGCCTCTCAGTGTGTGGTACTTTTTTACAGTAGTCTTTACAAACAAATATACCTAGCAACCACCATGCCTTGTTTTCTATCTGTATAAGTTTTGCCTTTGCAAGGATGTTACATAGACAGAATCCTGCAGTATGAAGCTTTTGTGAGTTTGGCTTCTTTCACTCAGCATAACACAGTTGAGATGCATCCATGCTGTTGCATGCATCAGAAGTCTGTTCCTTTTGGATGCTGAGTAGTATTTCACTGCTGGATACACCACAGCTTATCCATTCACCAGTTGAAAGGCATTTGGGTCACTCCTAATTGGGAGCATTATAAATAATGCTGCTATGAACATGTGTGTATAGATCTCTGTGTGGACATACACTGTCATTTCTCCAGAGTAGATACCCTGGAGTAGAATTACTGGGTCATATTGTAAGTGTATTTATAATTTTATCAGAAATTATTACCCGGGCATGGTGGCATGCACCTATAGTGCCAGCTACTTGGGAGGCTGAGGCAGGAGAATCCCTTGAACCCAGTAGGTGGAGGTTGTAGTGAGCCGAGATCATGCCACTGCACTCCAGCCTGGGCAACAGAGTAAGACTCTGTCTAAAAAAACCCAAAAAACCAAAGAACAAAACTACAAAGAATCTGATGTGGCTCATGCCTGTAATCCCAGCACTTTGGGAGGCCGAGGTTGGAGGATTGCTGGAGCTCAGGAGTCTGAGACCAGCCTGGGCAACATGGCAAAACCCGATCTCCACTAAAAGTACAAAAATTAGTTGGGCGTGATGGTGAGTGCCTGTAGTCCCAGGTACTTGGGAGGCTGGGGTAGGAGGATCACTTGAGGGTGGGAGGCGGAGGTTGCAGTGAGGTGAGATTGTGCCAATGCACTCTAGCCTGGGTGACAAAGTGAGACCCTGCCTAAAAAAAACCCCAAAAAACAGAAAGAAACTGACAAACTGTTTTCCAGTGTAGCTATACCATTTTGCATTCTCTCCAGCACTTAGTATTGTCAGGTTTTTAAAAATTTAGATATTTTAGGCCAGGCGCTGTGGCTTATGCCTGTAATCCCAGCACTTTGGGAGGCAGAGGTGGGCGGATCACTTGAGGTCAGGAGTTCGAGACGAGCTTGACCAACAGGGAGAACCAGATACTTGGGAGGTTGAGGCAGGAGAATTGCTTGAACCTGGGAGGCAGAGGTTGCAGTGAGCTGAGATCACACCATTGCACTCCAGCCCTCCAGCCTGGGCATCAAGAGTGAAACTCTGTCTCAAAAAAAAAAAAAAATTAGATATTTTAATAGGTATGTAACAATCATAGGGTTATTGTGAGAATGAAATGAACATATCTGAGAATACTGCCTAGCACATGGCTCCTGGCTTGGAAGGGTAAGCTCCTCTTATTGCAATCACTATGGGGTTATGTCCTGTCCAGGACAAAACCAGAGGTGAAAACTCAAAAAAAAACTCAGGTGGGCCAGGAGGAGGCTGTGGGGACCAGTGAGCTCATGTCCCATCTTGAAGGTCAAGGTCCCGGGAAGCAGCTCCTGAGATGGAAATCTGCATGTGGGTGGTTTTCCAGGTAGTGCTCTTAGGATCTTGGAGGAGCCAGGGAAGCAGGCTCGGGCAGTTGCAATAGAGGCCTTGACCAGTCCCATCAGGAGCTGGGCCAGCCCTTAGGACATGTCACAGCCTGAGACAGGGAGGTCATGCCTCTGTACTCTGCAAGATCAGACTTTGGAGTGGTTGCCCACAGGAGAGATGTTATTAATATCTTGGGTGAAGCAGCCCTTTTAAGCTGGTGCCTTGATCCGGGTGATGGCTTTGAGGTGGAAAACAAGCCTGAGTGGTTTCAGCTTTCAACTTTTCAAGAGAAGCTATGTATCTAGATTTTGATGTTAACTCTCCAAACTTTTTTAAAATGCTGGAAATTCTAGACTTTTCAAACCTGCTGTGAGGGGCTCACATGCCAGGCACAAGGGCTGGAGGGGGCCTGAGGCTGCCTGTCGATGCCCCTTGATATAAAACCAGGCTGGGTGCAGTGCCTTATGCCTGTAATCCCAGCACTTCGGGAGGCCGAGGTGGGTGGATCACTTGAGGTCAGGAGTTCGAGACCAGCATGGCCAAAGTGGTAAAACCCCGTCTCTACTAAAAAATACAAAATAATAATAATAATAATAATAATAATAATAATAATTAGCTGGGTGTGGTGGCTCACCCCTGTAATCCCAGCTACTCGGGAGGCTGAAGCAGGAGAATTGCTTGAACCCGGGAGGCGGAGGTTGCAGTGAGCCGAGATCGCGCCATTGCACTCCAGCCTGGGCAACAAGAGCAAAACTCTGTCTCAAAAACAAAACAAAACAAAAACAAAAACAAAAAAGGAAAACCAAACAAAAAAACCCCCAAAACCTGCTGTGTCATCTGACATCACGCTAGTGTCTGGTTGCCGCACTGGAGAGGACACCCCATGGGGCAGGAATCTTTGGGTTTTGATCTCCACCACATCCCCAGCATGTAGGGCAGGGTCCAGGCCTGGATGCAGCACGAGAGAAGGAACGCAGGGCCCGAATGAGTAATTTGCCTCAGTGTGCAGGTCATTTAATTGCAAAGAGAGGAAAAACGACAACCAAAAACAACCAAATGAAAAAATGAGCAAAGGATTTGAATAGACATTTCTCCAAAGATGTACAAGTGGCCAATAAACAGAGGAAAAGATGCTCAGCGTCAGTAATCATTAGGGAGATGCAAATCAGAATTGCAAGCACGAGATACCGCTTCACACCTATTAGGATGCCTATTAAAAAACAAAAACAAAAAACAAAACAAAACAAAAAAATCAGGCAGAGTGCTGTGACTCACACCTGTAATCCCAGCACTTTGAGAGGCTGAGGTGGGCGGATCACCTGAGGCAGGGAGTTCGAGACTAGCCTGACCAACATGGAGAAATCCCGTCTCTACTAAAAGTACAAAATTAGCCGGGCGTGGTGGCGCCTGCCTGTAATCCCAGCTACTCGGGAGGCTGAGGCAGGAGAATCGCTTGAACCCAGGAGGTGGAGGTTGCAGTGAGCCGAGACCACGCCATTGCACTCCAGCCTGAGCAACAAGAGCGAAACTCCGTCTCAAAAAAAAAAAAAAAAAAAAAAAAATCGCAGATCTGACTGTGTGACCTTGGGCAAGTTGCTTGACCTCTCAGTGCCTCCATTTCCTCCTCTGTAACGTGAGAGTAAAAATACTACTCATACCTACCTCGTAGGGCTGTCATGAGGACTGAATAAGTGCATAGGTACAGACATGCTTAGGACAGTATCAGCACATGCAGGAATTACATGGGAGTTGGCTGTTAATATTATTACAGGAGTGGATCAAATCCATCTCTGCCATGGACTTGCTGTGTGACCTAGTGCAGGTCACTTTGCCTCTCTTGGTCCAGTTTTCTCACTTGTAAAATGGGACCATACTGCCACTCTCCATAGGGCAAGTGTGCGGATTCGAGGAGCTCATATGTGAAAGGCCTCCTTCAGGCGCAAGGTTGGTCCTTGGTTATGCACGTATGTGAGCCTCTTGGCGTGCCTTCATATGTGGGGCATAGGCAAGCACTCAAGTGGCCTGGACTCCTATCTCGGCTCTCAATGTCCCCGCTTCCTGGCCTGGGATCAGCAGGACCTCAGTGGATCCACCATCCAGGCACATCCCTTTCTTTCCCTGCTTTTTTCCTGCTTCTTGGGCGGCACCACCACCTACTGGCCTAAAGCTACATTGCAGCCAATGTGCACAGCGGGGCGGAGGGAAGGGAATATGGCCTTGGGCAGCTGCTGTGCGCAGAATATTTACCTCTGTACACGCTTAGGGTGCTGAGGCTTAGGGAGCTCACACGGAGAGAGCCAGCTGTGAAGCTGGGGTTAGAATCCCTGTCTCCCTTTCACCTCACTCCAAACACCCTCTTAGAATGGGAACTCAGTTCAGGTTCTGCCTTGGGCCCTAGACGATCCACCCCTCCCTTCTGAGCAGGGAGCCAGGAGCTGAAGTCCAGGGTCCTTGGAAGTATGTCAGGGTTGTCCCCCCAGGGTCCTGATTACAGAAGAAAGAACACTGGACTCAGAGTCCAGAGGTTGGGGGTCTAGCTTTGCCTTCCCTATCCCCAACTATCAGCAAAACAGCCTTTGGAAAATCCTCACCCATTTATTCTAGCACTTGTCATTTCGAAATATATTTACTGTGGGAGAGCATTTAATGTGAGTGTTAGGTTCTAACGCAAGGAGAAAATTATAAAAATAAACAAAAACTTTTAAAGAACTCCTAAAAATCCTTTAAGTCACTCATAAAGTATAATATGGGCAGTTTTCTAAATATAGTCCTTTGCAGCAATAAATGCACGGACCATAAAGAACAGCAGTATATGGTGGTGATTGCATGCATTTGCGAACTGTAATTTTAGGTTCTGTTCTCTCTCAGGGGTGTGTGGGATTCCGAGCTGTGGATCCACACCCCCACATCTCTCTCACAGCTGGGATCATGTCCAGGCAGAATCGCCCACATTGTGTACATCATTCTCCCTTCTCTCTCTCTTTCTGAGCGCACATAGCTGCATTTCCGAAGTTACATAATAAAAACAGCTAACATTTATTGAGCTTTCATTATGTATTAGGCCTGCTCGCAGCCCTTTGCTCACGCATTAATTCATTAATTCAGATAATCCTCCTAAGAATGTTATGAGGTAGGTATATTATTATCTCTTCTCTTTACAGATGAGGAAACTGAGGCACTGAATGGTTAAGTAACTAGCCCAAGGTCAAATAGTGTACCACCCAGCCCGAAGGCGTTCACCTTGTTCCCGGGTAGGATCGCAGAACTGGTTAAGCTAGGTTACCGATCCGGGTGGTGTCAGCTGATCCCTCAGCTGCTGTAGTGCAAGATCTGCAAAATATCTCAAGCACTGATCTTAGGTTTTGCAATAGTGACACTGTCCCCAGGAACAACTTGGGGAGGTTCAGACCCTTGCTGTCAGAGGCTGCACAGCCCCTAAACCTTGATTTCTAATCTTGTAGCTAATTTGTTAGTCTTACAAAGGCAGACTGGTCCCCGGGCAAGAAGTGGATCTTTTCAGGAAAGGGCTATTGTCATAATTTCCTCAGTTACAATTTTTGCAAAGGTGGTTTCAATAGCCAGTGAGTGGTACAGCCTGAATTTGAAGGCAGGAAGTCCGGGACGAGAACCCACACTCTTGACTGGCATACTTGCCACCTGAATGGAGGCTCCATAGAGCCACGCGTGCATGCTTGTGTACCTGTTGTCAGCCCGCAAGCTCCGTTAGGCAGGCTAGAACCTGATCCAGGTTAACTTTGCATCCTTAGTGCTGGTTCTTTCCATCCAGGGCCCCACTCAGGGTATATGCTCAGTGACTGTTGTACAAATGCATAAAGCTCAGTTTGCATAAAGCTCACTTCAGCTTCTGTATCTGTAAGACAAGAATCAGAGCCAGGCACAGTGGTTCATGCCTATAATCACAGAACTTTGGGAGGCTGAGGCGGGCGGATCACGAGGTCAGGAGTTCCAGGCCAGCCTGTCCAATATGGTGAAACCCCGTCTGTAGTAAAAATACAAAAATTAGCCAGGTGTGGTGGCACGCATCTGTAATCCCAGATACTCGGGAGGCTGAGGCAGAAGAATCACTTGAACCTGGGAGGCAGAGTTTGCAGTGAGCCGAGATCATGCCACTGCACTCCAGCCTGGGCGACAGAGCGAGACTCCATCTCAAAAAAAAAAAAAAAAAAAGAATCGAAATCAGCTCTTCAGATTGCTGGAGGCTCCGACAAGCCCATTGGTGGGAAAATTCTCTTTAAAGACACTGATGTGGGCTGGGCACAATGACTCATCCTGTAATCCCAACACTTTGGGAGGCCAAGGTGGATGGATCACTAGAGGTCAGGAGTTTGAGACCAGCCTAGCCAACATGGTGCAACCTTGTCTCTACTAAAAATACAAAAAATTAGCCAGGTGTGGTGACATGAACCCATAATCCCAGCTACTCGGGAGGCTGAGATGGGAGAATCGCTTGAACCCAGGAGGCGGAGGTTGCAGTGAGCCAAGATTGCACATCTGCACTCCAGCCTGGGCGACAGAGCAAGACTCCATCTGAAAACAAACAAACAAACAAAACACTGATATAGTTTGGATTTGTTTCCCCTCCCAAATCTCAGGTGGGGTTGTAATCCCCAGTGTTGGAAAAGGGGCCTGGTGGGAGGTGATTGGATCTTGGGGGCAAACATCCCCCTTGCTGTTCTTGTGATAGTGAATGGATTCTTACGAGATCTGCTTGTTTAAAAGTGTGTGGCACCTCCTCCTACCCCGCTCCAGCCATGTAGAACGTGCCTGCCTCCCCTTCGCCTTCTGCCATGATTGTAAGTTTCCTGAGGCCTCCCCAGTCATGCTTCCTGTACAGCCTGCAGAACCGTGAGCCAATTAAACTTCTTTTTTTAAATGAATTACCCAGTCTCAGTTCATTATACCAATGTGAGAACAAACGAATACAGACACTAAATTCTCCTTTGCCCACCTCCTGCTTGGTCCCTTCTTGAATTTTCAAGCTGCTCAACCAAGTGGCCTGCACCAGCTTGGGAGAGCTAATCGTGTGTATCTGTACCCAACTCTACATTCAGTAACATCATGTTTGTAGCTCGAAATCAGCAATGGTGAGTATTTACACTATGGCAATTGGCAAATGCTTCAAACAGGAGTTTTCCCCTCTAGAGATGTTAAACGTTTGCCAGGAGGAAATCAATCCTCTAATGGCCACCTTCAAGGAGGCAACACAGTGGAGTGATCATGCTTGTTGGCTCTGGAGCCAGAACACCTGGGTTCAAAGTCCAGCTCTATCACTTACCAGCTGTGTGACCTTGTTCAGTTACTTAACCTCTCTGAGCCTCATTAGTCTCATTCATGATTACGTATTTCATTGGGGACTCAATGCCATCTTCCATATAAGTGCTCTCTCAATTAATGTTATATATTAATATTATCAATCAGCTTAAGAGGTGGGGAAACTTTCTTGTTTTCCATCCTAGGAAAGGGAGTGCTGAGGACAGGACTTGCAGTGTCAAAAAGGAACCTCAAAAACGGCAATGTGTAACTGCAGGTCTGGGCCATTTTTGAGGGTCTCTTGAGCATTGGCAGACCAGATCTTTATGCCAACACAGGTTGTGCGTGTGGGGGTTAGAGGAGGAGAGGCCTTCTCAGTTCTTTGCAGGAAAGGCTACTGTTAGCTCTAGAGCCCAGAACAGATTTAGGGGGAGAGATGATCTAACCAAACTTTCCCTCTGCCCTCGGCTTGCCAGTCTTCTCGCTAGTGAACACTCCCAGTGTGAGGTAGAGGGTTCCCTGTTCCACCTCCTTCCTCCCTCTGTAGAGGAGGTATGCATTGGGGCAGGTGTGTGTAAGGCCCTCCTGGGGTACCCCTCCAGGGAATCTTCCCATCTTCTCCAGTACTGCCCCATCTGACATCCTGCCTGAAGCCACAGGTTTCCCTTGCAATCACTAAAGAAGCAGGAGGGAACCAGCAGAACTCCCTGCCCATGTGCACAGGAGGTGATCCAGAAACTTCAAGGGGAAAAATCCTGCTCTCCACCCCAGCAGGCATTGATTTTTGGCTGCGAAGATTACAGTCTCTCTCTCTCTCTCTCTCTCTCTCTCTCTCTCTCTCTCTCTCACACACACACACACACACACACACACACACTCCTGTGTGCCAGGAGGTTCCTAGAAGGTCCTCACTCCTCGCACTCAGGTGCTCCAGGGCTAGCCCACTCCTGGGAGGTGCCCACAACTGACCACGATGCCCACAAGACTGTGGGAAGGGTTGCCCCATGTGCCTTCGTGCCCCTCCCACTGGATCCCAACGAAGGCTCTTTTCACAACAGGAATCAGAGCATGTCACTCCCAACCTGCCTAAACCCTCCAATGGCTCCCACCACTTTTGATCAAGACCTAAATCCTTTCTGAGTCCACCCCATCCTTACAGGGTCTAACCTTGCTTCCATCCCTGTCTTCACCCCTTATTCCTCCCTCTGGGCTCCTCTTCAGGCCCTTGAGGTGCCAAGCTCACTCCTGCCCTGGGCCTTTGCTGCTGCTGTCCCCTTGGCCTGGAGCACTCTTCCCTGTCCTTTTTGCCCATGTGAGGCTGAGAGGCAGACGGAATCATGGTTGCTAGTGTAGAGAGGCCACACTACTGGAGTTTGTATTTCAGTTCTGTCACCTTGAACTGGGTGACCTCACCCATCTCTGCCTCCCTTTCCTCCCTCTATACAGTGGGAAAGATAATAGCACCTACATCTTAGGGTGTTGTGAGACTGATTGAGATAATCTGTATGGTTTTTGGCAGTTTCTGAAATGCACTGTAAACTGTCTGGTTCTCCTCCCATCGGAAGGTGAGAATCTGACTGCTCCCCTTGACTCTGGGTGAGAGGGTAGGGCAACAGCAATGCTCCATGATTTCAGAGGCTGGGTCATAAAAACGGTCTGCAGGGGATTCACTTCCAGAACAGTGGAGTGAGGAACACTGCAGACTGCTTTCTGGTGAAAACAACTGATGATGATTTCTAAAAAACAATCATTTGAAGTCTCTGGAAATTGTCCTAAGAGCATACAGCAAGTGAAGAAACACTTATTCAAGAAAATCTACTAAATCTAGGTAAGAACAGTGAGTTTGTAGAACTTGAGACACAATCCACTCTCTTTCTCCCCTCCATTCCATTTTACTGTTATGGAAACTCAACTGTGAGCAGCCAGGGCCAAGAAGATGGGAGTCATTTCCCCCCAAGCTCCTAGTCGATGGGGTACAGCATCTCCCCAGGAAGGGAAGGCTGCCAGCATTTGTCATCCTCCCAACAGCTATATCTTACAGAGGCTAAACTCCAGGTAGGTGTGGCTGGGAGACTGGGATCTTCCTTCCTCTACCCAGTCCCCACTCATAGGGTGGTGGCCACGCCAAGTGCAGCAGGCTAAAAATATTGAAGCCCCAGTTGCTTTTGTCTTAGCTTACTTGTTAAAGCAGAGGTTCCATGCCTGGAGATGCAAGCTGAGAAGACCAGAGACTAAGAATACTGCCCCAACTCAGCCCTGCTCATAAAGCAAGAAGGTTACTCTGGGAGAAGTGAACTGTTGTCCCTGCCTCCAGCTCCAGAGCAGTGTCACAGATGCTTTGCCCAAGAGAGAGGCAGGTCATAACAACACAGATCTTTAAAGTTGTCCATAAAGGAACTGACTTTCTTTAGAACAGAGTATGCAGAAATTTAAGCCTAAGAGTGCCCTCAGAAGCAGTGGCGATTTTGGTAGTGATCAGGGACCCAAAGTTGCTATACTATATCATCTTAAATGTTCATTTTCCAGCAAAGAATTTCAAGACTTGCAAAGAAATAAACACATGTGACCCATACACAGGGAAAGACCAGTCAACAGAAACTACCTGTGAGAGTGCTCAGAGGTCAGACTTGCACGGACTTCAAAGCAACCACTGTAAATATGTTCAAAGAAATAATGGAAGCCATGCTTAAAGAATAAGGGAAGGTAGGCTGGGTGCAGTGGCTCATGCCTGTAATCCCCGCACTTTGGGAGGCCAAGAGGGGTGGATCACCTGAGGTCAGGAATTTGAGACCAGCCTGGCCAACATGGTGAAACCCCATCTCTACTAAAAATACAAAAATTAGCTGGGCATGGTGGCAGGTGCCTGTAGTCCCAGCTACTCGGGAGGCTGAGGCATGAGAATCACTTGAACCCAGGAGGCGGAGGTTGCAGTGAGCTGAGATTGTGCCACTGCCCTTCAGCCTGGGTGACAGAGAGAGACTCCATCTCAAAAAGAAAAACAAAAACGAAAATCAAGAATAAGGGAAGCGGTGATGACTGTGTCTCATGAACAGAGAATGTAAACAAGAAGATACTATTTTAAAAAACTTAATGGAAATTCTGGAGTTGAAAAGTGCAAAAGAAAAATTCACTAGAGGGGCTCAACAGTAGACTTGAGCCAGCAGAAGGAAGATTCAGTGAATCTGAAGACAGATCAATAGAGATTTCGCAGTCTGAAGAACAGAGAGAAAAATATGAAGAAAAATGAACAAAGCCTTGGAGAAATGTGGGACACAGCTAGGTGCACCAACATATGCACAATAACATATATAACAGAAGGAGAGCAAAGAGAGAAAGGAACAGAAAAAAATGTGCAAAAATAATCACTGAAGCCTTTGCAAATTTGATGAGAAACATGAATTATGCATTGAAGAAGCTTAATGAACTCCGAGTAGAACAAATGCAAAGTGGTCAACAACCAGATACATAAAAGGAAAATGTTGAAACCCAAAGATAAAAAGAAAATCTTGAAAGCAACAAGAGAAACACAGCTCATCACATATAAGGGAACACCAAATAAGACCGACAGCAGATTTCTCATGTGAAACGATGGAGGCCCTAAGGCAGTGGGACAACATATTCAAAATGCATAAACAAAAACTACCAAGCAAGAATCTTACATCCAGCAAAATTATCTTTCAAAAGTGATGATGAAAGAGATATTTCCAGATAAACATAAACTGAGAATTTGTTGCCAGGAAACTTACCTTACAATAAATACTAAAGGAAGTTCTTCAGACAGTAATTTGAATCCACACACACAAAAGCCAAAGTGCTCTGGGAAAGGCAAGTAGATCGTTATGAAAGGCAGTAAGAATGCATATTTATTCACCTTCTCTTAACAGATTTTTAAAAATAATTTGTATATAATTGTATTGTGGGGCCAAGACATATAGAAATGTAATATATTTTGATAATAATAGCACACAGGAGGTGAGTGGGAGCAGAGCTGTATTGGATTAAGAAAGTGAGACCAGATGGGAACTGGAATCCACAGGAACAAATGAAGAGAACCAGAAATTATAAGTAAGAAAGTTAATAAAACAAAGTCTTTTAATATATACTTGCTCTCCTTTCTTCTCTCAGCTTCTTCAAAAGACATAAAACTATATAAAGTAATAATTATAACAAAGTACTGTTGGTTTTGTAACATATGTAGATGTAATACATATAAAAAGAATAGTGCAAAGAGGAAGAAGAGAGAATAGTGCTATATAGGAGTCACCGGGCACGGTGGCTCACAACTTTAATCCCAGCACTTTGGGAGGCCGAGGCAGGCCAGTCACTTGGGGCCAGGAGTTCAAGACCAGCCTGGCCATGTATCTCTACATATAATAGATTGAAACCATGTATCTCTACGTATAATACAAAAATTAGCCAGGTGTGGTGTCATGTGCTGGTAATCCTAGCTACTGGGGAGGCTGAGGAGAATTGCTTAAACCCAGGAGGTGGAGGTTGCAGTGAACCAAGATCACGCCACCACACTCCAGCCTGGGCAATAGCACAAAAATCTGCCAAAAAAAAAAAGATAGAAATATATAGGAGTAATATTTCTATATATCACTGGAATTAAGTTACTGTAAATCTGAAGTCAATTCTGATAAGTTAAAACCTATATAGTAAGCCTAAACTGGTCATTAAGACAAACAAACAGAACAGTGAAAAAGCTATTAAAGAAATTTAAGGCTGGGCACGGTGGCTCACACCTGTAATCTCAACACTTTGGGAGGCTGAGGTAGGTGGATCACCTGAGGTCAGGAGTTCGAGACCAGCCTGGCCAACATGGTGAAACCCCCTCCCTACTGAAAATACAAAAAATTAGGTGGGTGTGGTGGCAGGCACCTATAATCCCAGCTACTTGGGAGGCTGAGGCAGGAGAATTGTTTGAACCTGGGAGGTGGAGGTTGTAGTGAGCCGAGATCATGCCATTGCACTCCAGCCTGGGTGACAGAATGAGATTCTGTCTCAAAAACAAAAACAAAAACAAAACAAACAAAAAATCCAAAAAACAGAAATTTAAATAATACACTAGAAAATATTCGTTTAGTGTAAAAGATGTCAAGGAAGAAAAGAGGAACAAAAAAGACATGAGACATATAGAAAATAAAAAGTCAAATGACAGACATAAATCCAACTTCTCTCAATGATAGCATTAAATGTGATTGGATCAAGTCAAAAGGGAGAGATTTCCTGACTAAATAAAAAGCCAAGATCAACTATATACTGTGTGCAGAAGATACACTCAAGATTCAAAGGTTAAAAGTAGGTTGGGCGTTAAAGGCTGAACAAAATATATCACGCAAACAGCAACCATAAGAAAACTTGATTTGCTATATTAATATCAGGAAAAAGACTTTAAAATGAAATATGTTACAAAAGATAAAGAGGAACATTTTATAATGGTAAAAGGATCAATCGATCCATTGGGAAGACATAAAAATTATAGACAGATATGCCCCTAACAACAAAGCCCCAACATGTGTGAAGCAAAAACAGAAAGAATTGAAGGGGCAAATAGACAATTCAAAAATAATATTTGGAGACTTCAAAACCCCACTTTTAATAATGAATAGAACAACTAAACAGAAGACTAAAGAAGGCAATAGAGGCTGGGCGTGGTGGCTCATGCCTGTAATCCCAGCACTTTGGGAGGCCCAGGCGGGCAGATCACCTGAGGTCAGGAGTTCGAGACCAGCCTGACCAACATGGAGAAACCCCGTCTCTACTGAAAATACAAAATTAGCCAGGTGTGGTGGCGCATGCCTGTAATCCCAGCTACTCAGGAGGCTGAGGCAGGAGAATCACTTGAACCTGGGAGGCAGAGGTTTCCGTGAGCCCAGATCACACCACTGCAGTCCAGCCTGGGCAACAAGTGCAAAACTCCGTCTCAAAAAAAAAAAAAAAAAAAAGAAAAAAAAAAGAAGGCAATAGAAGACTTGAACAACACTAAACCAACAAGACCTAAAAGACATCTATAGAACATTTCACACAACAACAAGATAATACACATTCTTCTCAAGAGTACGTGAAAAATTATTTAGGACAGACTATATGTTAGACCACAAAACAAACATCAATGATTTTTTTATCTTTTATTTTTTTTTTTAATATGGAGTCTTGCTCTGTTGCCCAGGCTGAAGTGCAGTGGCATGATCTCAGCTCACTGCAACTTCAGCCTCCCGGGTTCAAGCAATTCTCGTGCCTCAGCTTCCAGAGTAGCTGGGATTACAGGCACCCACCACTATACCCAGCTAATTTTTATATTTTTGTAGAGACAGGGTTTCACCATGTTCGCTAGGCTGGTCTTGAACTCCTGACCTCAAGTTATCTGCCTAAGTCGGCCTCCCAGAGTGCTGGGATTACAGGTGTGAGCAACCGTACCTGGACAATAAATTTTAAAAGATTGAAATCATACAAAGTACCTTCTCTGACTAAAATGGAATGAAGCTAGAAATCAATAGAAGAAAACCAAGATAATTCACGAATATGTGAAAATTAAAAACACACTCAAACAACTAATGTGTCAAAATAGAAATCACAAGGGAAATTGGAAAACACCATGAGGGAATGAGAATAAAAATATAACATACCAAAACTTACGTGATTCAGTGAAAGCAGAAAAATTTATAGCTGTAAAGACCTGCACTAAAAAGGGAGAAAGGGGCCAGGCGTGGTAGCTCACTCCTGTAATCCCAGCATTTTGCGAGGCTGAGGCAGGCGGATCACTTGAGGTCAGGAGTTTGAGACCAGCCTGGCCAACATGGTGAAACCCCATCTCTACTAAAATATAAAAATTAGCTGGGTATGGTGGCACATGCCTGTAATCCCAGCTACTTAGGAGGCTGAGGCGGGAGAATCGCTTGAACGCAGGAGGCAGAGGTTGCAGTGAGCCGAGAGCGTGCCACTGCACTCTAACCTGGGTGACAGAGTAACACTCCGTCTCAAAAAAATAAAAAATAAATAAAAAAATTTTTTTAAAAAGGAGAAAAGTCTCAAAACAACCACCTAACTCTACACCTTAAAGAACTACAGAAAGAATACAAAAATTAGCCGGGCATGGTGATGGGCACCTGTAATCCCAGCTACTCTGGAGGCTGAGGCAGAGAATGGCATGAACCTGGGAGGCAGAGCTTGCAGTGAGCTGAGATCGTGCCACTGCATTCCAGCCTGGGCAACAGAGCGAGACTCCGTCTCAAAAAAATAAATAAATAAATAAAAAATAAAAAGAACTAGAGAAAGAAGCACAGACTAAACCCAAAGCTAGCAGAAGAAAGAAAATAATTAAGATTGGAGTGGAAGTAAACAAAATAGAGTATAGAAAAACAGTGGTAAAAAAATCACTGAAGCTGGGCATGGTGCCACATGCCTATAATCCCAGCACTTTGGAAGGCAGAGGCAGGTGGATCACTTGAGGCCAGCAGTTCAAGACCAGCTTGGCTAACATGGTGAAACCCCATCTCTACTAAAAACACAAAAATTAGCTGAGCCTGGTGGTGGACACCTGTAATCCCAGCTATGCGGGAGGCTGAGGCAGGAGAATCACTTGAACCTGGGAGGCAGAAGTTGCAGTGAACTGAGATCATGCCACTGCACTGCAGCCTGGGCAACAGAGCAAGACCCTGTCTCAAAAAAATAAAAAATAAAAAAATAATAAATCAAAGAAACAAAAAATTGATCAATCAAATTGACAAACCTTTAGCTAAACTGGCTAAGAAAAGAAGATTCAAATTACTAAAATCAGAAATGGAAGTTCGGACAGTACTACTGAACTTACAGAAATAAAAATAATTATAAGAAAATACTATGAACAATTGTGTACCAGCAAATTGGAGAACCTAGATGAAACGGACAAATTCTGGCCAGGCGTGGTGGCTCACGCCTGTATTCCCAGCACTTTGGGAGGCAAAGGCAGGCAGATCACAAGGTCAGGAGATTGAGACCATCCTGGCTAACATGGTGAAACCCCGTCTGTACTAAAAATACAAAAAATTAGCCTGGCATGGATGGCACGTGCCTGTAGTCCCAGCTACTCAGGAGGCTGAGACAGGAGAATTGCTTGAACCTGAGAGATGGAGGTTGCAGTGAGCCGAGATTGTGCCACTGGACTCCAGCCTGGGTGACAGAGCAAGATTCTGTCAAAAAAAAAAAAAAAGAAAGAAAGGAAAGAAAGAAAGGGACAAGGGACAGATTCCTAGATACACATGATATACCAAAACTGAGTCATGAAGAATGGAAATCTTTATAGACCTGTAATGAAGCAGTGATCAAAAGCCATCCAAAAAAGAAAAACCTTTGACAAGTCCCTGGTGAATTCTACCAGACATTTAAAGAAGAACTAACATCAATCTTTCTCAAACTCTTCCAAAAAATTTAAGAGGAGGGTCGGGGGGCTGGGAGATCCAACATGACCTCATCCACATGACTGGCAATTGGTGCTGATTGTCAGCAGGAATGTCTGTGTTCTCCTCCTTGCGGTCACTCTTGCTCTGTTAGGTCAGACATCATCCCTTACATAGAGGCCCAAGGGTCCAACGGTCCAAGTCCAAGACTGAAGCTGCAAGGTCTCTTGAGGCAGAGGCTCTGAAAACCACATGATGTCACTTCTGTCACACGCTATTGGTCAAAGCAAGTCACATGCCTCACTCAGCTTCAAGTCAGTGGAGAAACAGACTCCACCTTGGATGGGAAGAATAGCAGAGTCACATTGCAAAGGGGTGTGGATAAGGGTTGGGAGGAATGTGTAGCCATTAATTTACACCAGATAATGTGAGTGTTTGCACTTTACAAGGTCCACAGGTCCACTGATACAGTTTGGCTCTGTGTCCCTACCCACATCTCACCTTGAATTGTAATAATACCCACGTGTCATGGGAGGGACCCCATGGGAGGTAATTGAATTATGGGGCGGGTTTTTCTTGTGCTGTTCTCGTGATAATGAAGACATCTCAAGAGATCTGATGTTTTTATCGGGGGGAGTTCCCTTGCCTGCCACCATGGAAGATGTCCCTTGACTCTTCCTTCATCTTCAGCCATGATTGTGAGGCCTCTCCAGCCATGTGGAACAGTGAGTCCACTAAACTTGTTTCCTTTATAAATTACCCAGTCTCAGGTATGTCTTTATTTTATTTTATTTTATTTTATTTTATTTTATTTTATTTTATTTTATTTTTGAGACAGAGTCTTGCTCTGTCACCCAGGCTGAAGTGCAAGGGCACCATCTCGGCTCACTGCAACCTCCGCCTCCCACGTTCAAGAGATTCCCCTGCCTCAGCCTCCTGAGTAGCTGGGACTACAGTGCACGCCTCCACACCCGGCTAATTTTTGTATTTTAGTAGAGACAGGGTTTCACTATGTTGGCCAGGCTAGTGTCGAACTTCTGATCTCATGATCCACCTGCCTCGGCCTCCCAAAGTGCTGGGATTACAGGCATGAGCCACCATGCCCGGCCTCAGGTATGTCTTTATTAGAGCGAGAGAATAGACTAATACATCCACCAACCCTAGGAAGTCAGTGGAAGGGTATTTCCGTATTTCATATGGAAGTCATTTCCATATGAAAATTTAGCCAGAGGATTTCATGCTGGTTGTCTGAAAGCCAGGAGCTTCTAAAAAACTTTCAGGGTAGCTGTCTAAGCATGACCTCATGTCATCCTGTTGTGAGTACTAAATTAGTTAATTCAGGGGAGGCACTCAGAAAAGTGAAGAAAGGGAAATCTTTCTTATATAAATCTTAGAAATCTCATAGAAATCTTAGGAAAGTGCCTGGCGTGCAGTAAACACGTGATACATTTCAGTTGTTATTATCTTCACAATAATTTTTTTGGGTCAGGCTTGTTATTTTCCCTGTTTTACAGATTAAGGGGCAGAGACTCAGAGATGCGCAGTAAGTCGCCTGAGGGTTACGCAGCAAATAAGCAGGGAAGCCAGATGAGAACCTACATGACAGAGTCACCCATGTGTGAGACTCCAAAGCCTCATTCAGGTGCACAGAGAGGCGGTTGTGAGGACGTTCACTGCTGCGTTGCCTTCAGTAGCTTAACATCAGAAACAGCGCAGATGTCCACCAACAGGGGCCACCCAGTAAACCCCAGCATGCCCAGCCAAGGAGTGCTTTGTGCTGGTTACAAGAAATGAGGTCACGCTATACATAGGACATGGGATCATCTCCAAGACATTCTGTTCAGTAAAAAGAACATCTGAAAAAAAAGTTCCATAACCCACAGAAAATACTGCCAAATATTCCAAAAAATCTAAGTCCAAGTGTGTGTGTATGTGACCTCTGGAGGCTGATCTGAAGCAAATGTAGGTGAATTAAACAATAGGATCTATTTATAGGACTCTTCTTTTCCTACTTTTCTTTATTTTTGTTGGATTTTGAAACATGTTCAAAGAAAAATTCAGAGTACAATAAAGTACCAGTCGGGCATGGTGGCTCACGCCTGTAATCCCAGCACTTTGGGAGGCTGAGGTGGGTGGACCACCTGAGGTCAGGAGTTCGAGATCAGCCTGGCCAATATGGTGAAACCCTGTCTCTGCTAAAAATACAAAAATTAGGTGGGTGTGGTGGCAGGCACCTGTAATCCCAGCTACTCGGGAGGCTGAGGCAGGAGAATTGCTTGAACCCAGGAGGCAAAGGTTGCAGTGAGCTGATTGTGCCACTGCACTCCAGCCTGGGCGACAAGAGTGAGACTGTGTCTCAATAAATAAATGAAAGAAAGAAAGAAGAAAGAAAGAAAGAAAGAAGAAAGAAAGAAAAGAAAGAAAGAAAGAAAGAAAGAAAGAAAGAAAGAAAGAAAGAAAGAAAAAGAAAAAGAACCAAGAAGAAAAAATAATCACCGGAGATTCCTCCCCTCCCCTAGAGCTAACTAGGCTAACATTTTGGTATATATCTTTCCAGTCCGGATCCTGTGTGACTGAGTGTGTATATGCATATGTATTATTTTCAACTGTTGGCTTTCTCCTTGTGGTCCAAGACAGCTGCTCCAGATTTAGCCATTACATCTGTTTCCTGCCAGCAAGAAAGGGAAAATGGGAAGTAGAGGGCCTTTTAAGTATACAACCTAGAATTTACACACATTATTCTTTATCACATCTCATTTCTCTAAATGTAGTCGCATGGCCATCCTGGCCAGAAGGAAGCCTGGGAAATGTGGTCTTTCCTCTGGGCTGCCTTGTGCCCAGTGAAAAGTCAGGGGTTCTATGACTATGAAAGAAACAGGAGAATGGATATTGTGGCAACTAGCAGTGCTATTCACCTTTATTCTCTCAATGGTAATATTTTTCCCCATCAAGAGGGGAAAATTTGTGTCTTACATTCTAACCACTGAACTCCGAGAGAAGACACTGGCCTGTGCCATTCTCTTGCGATGGAGTTTCGCTCTGTCGCCCAGGCTGGAGTGCAGTGGGGTGATCTCAGCTCACTGCAACCTCCACCTCCTGGATTCAAGCAATTCTCAGGCCTCAGCCTCCCGAGTAGCTGGAATTACAGGCACCTGCCAGCACACCCCTTTTTAGACCACATAGGGTAGCTTCCGACTGTTGCCATGGCATTTGTGAATTGTCATGTGCTGGTGGGAGTGTCTCTTAGCATGCTAATATATTATAATTAGCATATATATTATAATGAGCAGTGAGGAGGACCAGAGGTTGCTTTCATCACCATCTTGGTTTTGGCGGGATCTGGCCAGCTTCTTTACTGCATCCTGTTTGTTTTATCAATAAGGTCTTTGTGACATGTACCTTGTGAAACCAGTCCTGCCTAAGGGAGCGGGGCTGGCGGTTGTTCAGAGTGAACAATTCAAAGTCAGGTCCTCCCTCTTGGAGCTCAGAGACTTGAAGAGCAAGGACCACTGTCAGGACACAACCCCATTTGCAAGGCCGGGGACACACATACAGACCCACAGGCCATTGTAGAGAAAGTGTTAAAAGATGGAAGTCAAGCCACGGCCACTGGAAGTGGTGTGCCCTGAGAGGCAGAGGGTTCTCCCTAAGCCAGGGAAGGACAAGGCAGGGCAAGACAGAAACTGGGCCTGGGGCCAGGATTCCTGAGCTGGGGCTAGATTTGCCCAAATCTAGGGCAGGGCTGACTGGGTCAAGCACAGCAGGGAGCCAGGGTGGGTCGATCCCCCTGCCACAGGCTTCACTCTTCTGGCTCTGGTTTCCAGGCAGTTCTAAAAGCCTCCCAGTGGCCCAGTGCAGTGGCTAACGCCTGTATTCCCAACGCTTTGAGAGGCCTTAGGCGAGCAGATCACTTAAGGCCAGGAGTTCGAGACCAGCCTGACCAACATGTCAAAACCCCGTCTCTACTAAAAATACAAAAATTAGCCAAGCGTGGTGGCAGTGCCTGTAATCCCAGCTACTTGGGAGGCTGAGGCAGGAGAACCCAGGAGGTGGAGGTTGCAGTGAGCTGAGATTGTGCCACTGCACTCCAGCCTGGGTGATAGAGCAAGACTGCATCTCAAATAAAATAAAATAAAAAAATCAAATCAAATAAAATGTCTCCCAGAATACACCACCCCAGCAAAATGGCAGGAGGGAGTGTCACCTGGGGACCTCCACTTTGGAGGTTTGAGTGGGCAGCTTTAAGCTGGAACAGTCACTCTTGCTGTGGGTTCTCAGGGCGGAGACTGAGCCCCCACCCTGCCTCCTCAAATGCATTTCCTCTCAGCTCCCACCTGCCAGCCCAGGAGAGAGGGAGGGCCATTCTGTCCTTTTCCTGCAGAGTCCCTTTGTTCAGTTGGTGACCAACATCCTGAAAAACATTCTCAGGAGATCAAAAAGAAGAACATTTTGGTCTATGTGGTAGGTTGGCCCAGTGCACCACGCCCAGTGCAGGTCCCTCTTGAAACCACCTTTGGGAAATTATGACTGAGACACCACCTTTGCAAAATTATGACTGAGACAATGAGAGATCTTTTTTTTTTTCCTTTGAGACAGAGTTTCGCTCTTGTTGCCCAGGCTGGAGTGCAATGGTGTGTTCTCGGCTCACTGCAACCTCCACCTCCTGGGTTTAAGCGATTCTCCTGCCTCAGCCTCCCGAGTAGCTGGGATTACAGGCACGCGCCACCATGCCTGGCTAATTTTTGTATTTTTAGTAGAGACAGGTTTCTCCGTGTTGGTCAGGCTGGCCTCGAACTCCCAACCTCACACCTGAGGTTGCCTCAGCCTCCCAAAGTGCTGGGATTACAGGCGTGAGCCACCACGCCTGGCCCACAGTAAGAGGTCGAACTTAACCTACTCTATCTTGCTTCTAACCTCCAAGCTGTCCTTGTTCATTCCTGGGCATAAGCTGAACTAACCTTGGGAGAAACTTAGTTTATACTTTAAACAGCCCTTTCCCAAAGCAGACCTCCTTCTTGCCTGGGGACTAAGCTGCCTTTGTAGGACTAACATTAGCCACAAAATTAGAAATTTTGGTTTAGGAGTCATGCAGCTGGAGGCTACAAGATCCTGACCCTCCCTAAACTACTCCTGACATCAGGGCTTGAGATATTTTTCAGACCCTGCACTTGATGGATCAGCTGGCATCACCCACGTCAATAAACTGGCTCATCTGATCTTGTGGCCCCCACCCAGGAATTGATTCAGCTCAGGAAGACAGCTTGGACTCCCTGTGATTTCAACCCTGACCAATCAGCACTCCTGGTGCACTGGCTTCTCCCCACCCACCAAGTTATCCTTAAAAACTCTTCTCCCCAAATGCTCGGAGAGACAGATTTGAGTCATAAAACTCCAGTCTCCCACGCAGCTGGCTCTGTGTGAATTACTCTTTCTCTATTGCATTTCTCCTGTCTTGATGAATCGGCTCTTGATGAATAGGCAGCCTGCAAGGTGAACCCCTTGGGCGGTTCCACTCTTTGCCCAGGGTGATGTTATTTCTCTCCAGGATGGCTGCAGCGGCTTCTGAGCCTGCTTGCATCTGGTGTGGTCCCTTTCAATGTCACGCAGGCCAAAGCAGCCCTCCATCTCTCCATGATCTTGGCTTCCAAGGTACTCTGTCTCTCTCTCTGGGTCGCCATACTGGCTTCCATCAGGCCCTGGAATGCATCCTGCTGGTTCTATCCCTTGGCCTTCAAAAGTGCGGTTTCCTCCTGGAAGGCACCTTCTGCCTTACCTCACACTTCCTTCCCTCCTACCTGCCTTGAGATACCAGCTTGCAGGGGCATTCTTGGGAAAGCCGACCCCTTGGACTGAGTCTGGAGTTTTGATCTCTCTCTCTCTTTTTTTTTTTTTTGGAGATGGAGTTTCACTCTTGATACCCAAGCTGGAATTCAATGGCGTGGTCTCGGCTTACCACAACCTCTGCCTCCCAGGTTCAAGTGATTCTCCTGCCTCAGCCTCCCAAGTAGCTGGGATTACAGGCATGTACCACCATGCCTGGCTAATTTTGTATTTTTAGTAAAGATGGAGTTTCTCCATGTTGATCAGGCTGGTCTCGAACTCCCAACCTCAGGTGATCTACCTGCCTTGGCCTCCCAAAGTGCTGGGATTACAGGCATGAGCCACCGTGCCTGGCCTTTTTTTTTTTTTTTTTTTTGAGATGGCATCTCACTTTGTCACCCAGGCTGGAGTGCAGTGGCACCATCATGGCTCACTGCAGCATTGAACTCCTGGGCTCCAGCAATCCTCCCACCTCAGCCTCTTGAGTAGCTGGGATCACAGGCATGTGCCACCATGCCTAGCTAATTTTTGTATTTTTTTTTGTAGAGACAGGGTCTCATTATGTTGCCCAGGCTGGTCTCAAACTCCTGGGCTCAAGCAATCCTCCTGCCTCAACCTCCCAAAATACTGGGATTACACGTGTAAACC
This sequence comes from Homo sapiens, assembly GCF_000001405.40. Taxonomy (NCBI): domain Eukaryota; kingdom Metazoa; phylum Chordata; class Mammalia; order Primates; family Hominidae; genus Homo; species Homo sapiens. The sequence continues at coordinate 757,165 of NC_000020.11, forward strand.
ACCACATCCAGCCCTGATCTCATTCTTCAGAGAATTTACCTAGCTGGTCACTTGGTGTCTGTAGGAGCATCGCCTCTCAGGCCTGCCTCAAAACTGCATTTCAGTTGGGAGTGGGGCGGGGGGAGGGAGAGTGTAGTTTGGGGACATCAAGCGTCTGTGGTGGATCTCCTCCCAAAGTGAGACTGCTTTTTAATGATATTTATTGAGCACTTACTGTTTGCCACTGCGGTGCTAAGCACTTTGCACATACTAGCTCAGTGCATCCTTACAGCAATCCTGGGAGGGAGGTGCTTTTCTCATCCGCATGTGCTGACAAGGCTGAGAAGAGCTGGGTCTTGCACGGTACCTTAAGGGCTAAAGACCTGCAAGGATGGTGCATGAAAGCAAAACCAGAGAGGCGCCTTTTCCAAATGCCAATGCGCCCTCCACCCAGTCCTTCACAAACCACATCAGCATGGATAGCACCACACTCCACAGGCTTTTCTGCATCTCCTTTGTGTGTGTGCACATGTGTAATTAATTCTGGGGCAACTTCCTACATCAGTACAGAGAAACTCCTTGATCATTATCCACTCCAACATCCTTCCTGGGAGGGACTGACTGGAAACCCAAATGCCCTTGTAAGGGCAAATACAAAAACTAAAATAATTCTCCCTGGTGCAGAAAAAGGAAAGAAACCTCCCGTTTCCTGTTCTTAAACACTCTAGAGCAAACACTTTAGAAAACTTCTCAATTATTTCTCTGTTCCTTTAAGATGTGTCTTTTTAAAAGCCAGGTGAGCCTCCTGCCAGTTTTACAAGCCAGGGATGTTTTCCCAAGGACCTAGGAGCCATCTCTTTGGAAGGTAAACATCAAGATTGCACCCTTCTCATCCAGTCTCCATGGGCAGATAGGAGCCTAACTTCAGTGCTTGGCTCCAAGTTGCAAAACAATCCATCGTCTATCATAAAGATGTGAGTTTATATTTTCTCTGGATAAAGACAATTAGCTAACACAGATGGCCACTCCAATTACCAGGTGAATTCGGGATGAAATAAGTTGCAAATTGTGTTGTGCAGTCATCTGACTCGAGAACTATTTTTTTTTTTTTGAGACAGAGTCTCGCTCTGTTGTCCAGTCTGGAGTACAGTGGTACGATCTCAGCTCGCTGCAACCTCTGCCTCTCAGGTTCAAACAATTCTCCTGCCTCAGCTTCCCGAGCTGGGATTACAGGCGTGCACTACCACACCTGGCTAATTTTTGTATTTTTAGTAGAGATGGGGTTTTGCCATGTTGGCCAAGCTGGTCTCGAACTTCTGACTTTAAGTGATCTGCCCACCTTGGCCTCCCAAAGAGTTGGGATTACAAGCATGAGCCACCACCCCGGCCCTAGTTATTATTTGAGGACATGTATGCAATAGGTTATACCTGCTTGGTTATATAGGAGGACGAAATGTATTTCTCTTTGTAATCTCTTTTGTGGATTGCCTGTGATGCCCACTGCAGTCTGGTTTAACGCTTATTTAATAATAAAACTGTTTTCTCTTCTACTTTTGTGGAAAGGTTTTCTGGATTAGATCTTTAATTTTGTCTCCAGCATCTTCAAATGTCTTTCTACAGAGGGTTGGTTAAATAAATGTGGCATCTCCACAAAAGAGAATACTGCACAGTCATGGCAAAAAAACAAGGAGCCTGTTTTCGTTGTTGAATGAAAAGTGCAAGGTGCACAACAGTTTACTACTTTTTCTGTAAAAAAAGAGGTCTGAGAAGGCTGTATTTGCCATTTGTATAATCTCTGGAAGGGTAAACAGCGACTGATAAAAGTGCTCGTGTGTGTGTGTGTGTGTGTGTGTGTGTGTGTGTTAAGAGAAACTGGGCAGATGAGGGAGAGGAAAGGGATGAAAACCTTTCTCTGTACACCTTATATTTTCTGATTTTTTGAAACACGTGACTGTATTACCTATTCACAGTAAGTTAACAGGGATGGGAAGCATGGTGGTGGCAAGCAAACGAAACCTCTAAAAAGAAGTCCCAGGGGCCGGGCGCAGTGGCTAACTCTTATGATCTTAGCGCTTTGAGAGGCCAAGGTGGGCAGATTGCCTGAACTCAGGAGTTCGAGACCAGCCTGGGCAACATGGTGAGACCTCGTCTCTACTGAAAATACAAAAAATATGCCAGGTGTGGTAGTGCGCACCTGTAGTCCCAGCTACTCCGGAGACTGAGAGGCAGGAGAGTCACTTAAACCTGGGAGGCAGAGGTTGCAGTGAGCCGGGATCACACCACTGCACTCCAGCCTGAGCAACAGGCAGGACTCTGCTTCCAAAAAAAAAAAATTAGCCAGGTGTGGTGGTGGGCACCTGTAATCCTAGCTACTCAGGAGGCTGAGGCAGGAGAATCACTTGAACCTGGGAGGCAGAGGTTGCAGTGACCTGAGATTGCGCCACGGCACTCCAGCCTGGGTGACAGAGCAAGACTCCATCTCAAAACAAAAAAAGCCCCAGAACCAGACATCCTTAAGCACTTGATTCTGTTCATTTCTGAGCTCAGCCTTGAGCTTAGAACCAAGTGAAAACTAATTACACATTTTCGGAGTTCACATTAAACTTCTTCTTTTTAAAATTATTATTTTTGAGACAGAATCTTGCTCTGTCACCCAGGCTGGAGGGCAGTGGCACGATCTCAGCTCACTGCAGCCTCCACCTCTGGGGTTCAAGCAATTCTCAGTCTCCTGAGTAGCTGGGACTACAAGCATGTGCCACCATGACCAGCAATTTTTTGTATTTTTAGTAGAGATGGGTTTTTGCCATGTTGGCCAGGCTGATCTCAAACTCCTGGCCTCAAGTGATCTGCCCGCCTTGGCCTCCCAAAGTGCTGGGATTACAGGTGTGAGCCACTGTGCCATGCCTGAACTTCTCCTTTGAAGGAAGATCTGAGTGTAAAAGCAGGGAATGCCTTTATTTAAAAAAATGAAAAACAGAAACTAAAACAAAATAACAATCACCTCTGTTGCCTCCATTTGAGAGAATACTTCCAGGGGCTCTGCATGTCTGGTCCCCAACCTGGTCGGGGAGTTCACTTTCAGAGGCTCAGGGATGGGCCTTCCCCAGCCCCACCAGCAAATCATCTCTCCCGGCTTCCAGGAGGGTACTTACTCTCCAACTAGTGGGCTTTATGGGCCAGGAAGGATGACAGGAAGGGGTGTGTGGGGTACTACGTCCCTCCACACTGAGAATCCGAAAGCCAAGATGCCCAAGATTCTATCGTTATCTGCTTGTCTTGTAGAAGCCCCTCTGTGAGACTGAGGGGCAAAGGAGAGAGGGCAGGGGCGTGTCTCAACCCTTCTGGCCACTTCTAGGTTGTGCAGACTGCCACTCTTGTTACTACGATGGACTGTCAGATCAGCAGGTGGCCCAGGAGGGCTTGCTTGATGCGGGCTGCTTTTTCCTTTTGCCTCCGTGCCATGCCTGTGAGGTAGTTGGTACTTACTGGAATCCCCACTGCATGCATGAAGAAACAGGCACAGAGAAGCCAAATGACTTTCCCAAGGTCACACAGCCTGAAGGGACAGCCGGCTGTCCCAGCTGTTTCCCTTCTAACACCCTTGGGCCTGCCTCCAGCTAGATGCTGCAAATCAGTCCTCTCTTGAGAGTCAAAGCAAAGGAGATCTGAGCTGGTCGTCACAGGTAGTGTGACACAGAGTTGGGGATAGAGCCGCACCTTGCATTTCCAGGTGCCATCTTCCCCACAGTCCCCAGTGGGCACTTGCGTTCATGATTCAATTACTCAGGCTCTGTCTCTCTGTTCCTGCCCCTTGCTCTGTGACCTGGCCTCTCTGGACCCCAGTTCCGTCCGTGAGCGATGGGGGCGGGGTCGGCGGCCTGCCTAGGCTGGACAGTGCAGATTGCAGAAGTCCGCGGACGAGAAGAGCCGCAGCACGTTGACCAGAGGGAACATGAGCAGCGCTCCGAGCAGCGAGCCCAGCTGCACCGCCGCCCCGCACCACAAGAGGGCGCTGCGGCTGAGGTCGCGCAGGACCACGCCCAGCATCACCTTGACGTAACTGAGGCAGCCGCTGAAAAGCACCCACGAGGCCACCTGCGGGGCCGGGAGGGAAGAGGTGCAGAGTCACGGGGCTTGCGGGGCGAGCGCCGGAGCAAAGAACTCTCACAGGGCTCAGGGGAACCCACGGAATACTCTCTAGGTGCGAGGAGCGCCTTCTGGGAGTGAGCCTGCGGGGCCGACGGGTCCCATGAGTTGGCCGCCCGGGGGCGAAGGAGAATCCAGTGGCTTTTCTGGGTTCACGTGCCCATGATCAGGGCAAGGGCCCTTGAGAGAAGGCCCCTGCTGAGGTACACATGGTGGGAAGAGGCCTACCAGTCACCTCGATTCCCTAAGCCTCCACTCCCAAATGAGGAAGGGGCGCTTCCCCCACCTGGGGCTTCCCGGGAGGGTCCCACAGACCCCGCTCGCTGGAAAGGGCCGCGCCCAAGCTCTCCCAGGCCTTGGCTAGGGGTGAGGGGTACGCAGCGGGAGCAGCCCCACCGGCCGGATACTCACAATGAGGACTTCCCCACCCCAGTGGCCCTGCAAGAGGGGGCAGGGGCTCATCACCGCCATGGCCATGTTGTAGCCCCCAAAGCAGGTCCCAAGCACGGAGAGGACCCCCAGGAACAGCAGAGACCTAGAGGAAAGTAGGGGAGGTGAGTGGAGGTGAGAAGCCTGACCTCTGACCCCCCCGCCCCACTGGGCGGCATGTGGATGGCCAGTGTCTCCATAGTTAGTTTAGACCCATGTGGAAAATTCCAGGTTGCCTGGCTCAAGTGGGTCAGGGAGGCTCCTGAGCAGGCAGGGCTGGCCTGAGTCATCCCCAGCATTAACGGCAGGGCCTGGCACCCCGGCAAGAAAAACATAATGGACTCTGGCACCGGATGGTCCTGGTTCAAATCCCAGTTCTACTGTTTAAGCTGAGACTCGCCTCTGAGCCTCCAAATCGGAGTTTTGCAAGGCTGCATGACCTCCAGGAGCAGAGCATGCAGGCCTGGCGCCGCTGTGGGCCCACCTGGTGTTTACCTGCTGGCATTTCCTCCTGCAACACACCCTCAGCCTCAGCCAGGAAGCTGAGTTGAAGTGAAGATGGCTGGATCGGGCATTGGCACAGTAGGGTTTGCTGTGCCTCCTCAGGAGACCCCTCCCCTTCTGGCCTCAGCTACCTGCCTCTGCAATGTGGAGTGTGCTGATCTCCAGGGGTCCTGGCAGCTGGCTTGTTGCTGCTAGGAGCATCTCTCTACAGGTGGCCTTCCATGCAAACCTACATCTGGGACCACTGTCCTTCCTCACAGGTCCTTGTCCCTGGGGTCCCAATCTCTAGAACCCCAAGACTGGTCCACGCCCTGGGTAAGAACAGACAGAGGTCTGCCTATACCCTTAAAGACTCTTTCTGCTCCAAGATTCTTGGATTCCATGACTCAGATTCTGTAATTCTAACATTTGGGGTTTCTTGGATTTGCAGGTCTGAGCCTTTGGTCCTGCTTCCCTCAAATCCTCCATCCTCTTTCCAGTTTCTAGGTCCCAAGGTAGAAAATCCAGCTTCCTGGCAAGCTTTCTGTCAAGCTCTTCTGTCCTCACTGTCCTTCTTCTGGGCTGGGAGAGTGGGTGTAAGCAGGCCAGTGAGGACAGGCAGGCCAGCGTGGATACGAGGCTGTAGGACCCACCTCAAATGTCAAGATCCCAAGGTGGTAGTTCTCCTACAGGGGTCTGAAGCCCCTGCCTCAGAACCGTCTGGTTTCCTTACTAAAAATTGAAATCCCAGGTCCCAGTCTAGGCTGGTTCAATCTGCATTTTATCAACTTGCCCAGCCATTCTTCTAGAACTGTGGCTCTAAGGGAACCAGCAGGAGGTTAGAGGCAGGAAGGCAGGGCCGAAATCCTGGGAATTAGACCAGGTCAAGCTCTTTCTCCAAGCCTCAGGGTTTCCCCTTATAAACGGGAACCTCAGTGGCTATCTGCTCCTCCTCATGGACTGATGACAATGATGGTCAACGCTTAGGCTGGACCTGCCACGTGCCAGGCACCGCTCCAAGAGCTTTATAGAATCAGCTCATATCATGCTTCCAGCAGTCCTAGGAGGTGGAATGTTACACTCCCATTTTCCGATAAATATCCCTGAGGCACAGAGAACTGAAGTGACTTGTCTTACACACAGCTGACAGGTGGCAGAGCTGGGATTTGGACCAGGGTGCTCCCCAAACATGTTCTTAACCACTACATGTACAGCCCAGTAGGTGCGTTTGGAATTCTGGGTTCTGAAATGAAGTGTTCCCCCACTAGGATTCCCTAGGACCAGATGAGGGCACACCTGTTAGGCAGGAACATGGAGACCAACGAGGCAAGAGGGTTGGCCACAATGCTGAGGGTGGCAGCCAGGTGGTAGGCAACTGGCCCATAGGACAGGCAGGAGTAGGTCTGCACAGAGGGCAGCATGCCGTTGGTGAGCGCGTTGACGAAGGCCACCAGGGTATAGATGAAGGCCAGGTGCGCCGGGCAGCAGGGGGCTGCTTTCTCCTCTAGATACCCCTGGCCCTGGCTGCTGTCCACCGTGCCTGCAGGGCCCAAGTCATTCTCTTCCCGCGGCCGGATGGAGTGGAGGGTGACCTGGTCATTGAGGAGGTCTTCCACGGAAGCCTCCCAGCACCTGGGTTGACGCTGGAGGACAAAGAACGCCACGAGGCAGCAGGCCATCATGATGGATAGGAGGAGGAAGAAGACCAGGGGTGAGAAGTGGGCGGGAAGGTAGCGGCTCTCCAGGTGGGACAAGGGTGCTTCCATTCCGGGGAGGGCGGACACCAAAGCTCTGGGAACTCCCTGCAAAGGACAAGACAGATCCCTGGTCAGGGGAGGGGATCAGGCTGCAGAACAACAATCATGACAGTGATAACAGAATACAGATCACCTGTTATTATTAATGGATAATGAATAAATAAACATAACTAACAAGGTGGCAATAATGACTGCTCATACTGACTGCCCACTGAGCACGGGCACTGTGCATGGATAAGCCCCTATGCCTCCTAACAGGGCTGCACAGTGGGCACCATCATCCCCCATTTTAGAGGGAACTGAGGTATCAGAATGCTTCGTCCCTTACCTGAGGGTCACAGGGAGAATGTGGCAAAGCCAGACTCCACCTGGTGCTTTCTGACTTGGAAGCTACACCTTTTATCACCCCACAGCAGTGGCAACCACAAACATGTTCAGAGGAGGAGCTAGCTGGAGACTGAGCAGTGGAGCCGCCCACCTAAGAGGAGAGCCCCCACCTAAGGGGAGAATCCCCCACCTAAGGGGAGAGCCCCCACCTAAGGGGAGAATCCCCCACCTAAGGGGAGAGCCCCCACCTAAGGAAGAACACTGCTCCACCCATCGTCTAGGAAATAAGGGCCTTCAGGACATGCCATCCCAAAATATGACTGTAGGAGGCCAGAATATGCCACCCCAAAATTGACCTATTGGCATATTTTTTATTTCTAGCTGGTTATTTTGAAAAATTGCAGGCTAAGGAGTAGCTCTGAAAAGTTGCCATTTTGTAAGATAAATTTACATCTAAAGGAAATTTTTATTAGTAAAGCTATCTTATCTGTACCAAGAAAAGGTATCTGTACCACGAAGGGGTATCTGAACCAGGAAGAGAAAGGTGATGGCCTTTATCACCCGAGGAACTTTTATCTGCATAACAGTGCAATGTTTATTCACCATAAGTTTCCTCCCTTCACTCTCCCATAATTTGTCTCCACCATCCTGCAGTAGCCTCAAGCCCCTATTCCCTTTTGTAGCTCAGGATGCTATAGAAGCTGAAATCATCTGGCCCTTTTTTGAGTCTCATATTTTTTGGGGACTCCCATGCGTATGTATGTAAGTAATTAAAATGAGTTTCCTGCTGTTGATCTGCCTTATGTCAGTTTAACTCATAGGCCGACCAAAGAACCTAGAAGGATGGAGGTGAGCAGTTTTTCCCTCCCCTACATTTGTGATAAAGCCAAGTGCTGAGATGGCTCCGGGTGATGCTGGGTACCTGTGCGATGTCAGTCTCCCTCGTGGGTACAGGGCTTGGTACGCTGTCTGATATCTCAGTGACATTGACGCAGGTAGTGAGACCGGAGCCCTGGGCAAGAGCCACCAGGGCGGGCAAGAGGCCGCTGAGTCCTTCACCCACAAAGAAGGTGGTGAGGTAGTAGGTGGGCAGCCGGCTCATGAACGGCAGGAAGGTCACTGAAGAGGTGCAGTCCACCAGGGCCAGGAAGAAGGTGAGGACCAAGAAGGCGATGCTGTGGTGGCCGTCCAGCACCCAGGAGGTCATATTCCAGAGGAAGGCAAAGATGATGCAGGTGACGGTTCCCACGCCCAGCAGGGTGAAGATGATGGGCACTTCGGAAAGGCAGCTGGGCCGGAAGTGATGGAGCAGGGTGACCAGGAGGGGCCCGATGTTGGCCAGCTGGATGACCACCGTGAGGTAGGAGGGCAGGTACCAGCCCTCGGGCAGCTCCATCACCAGCAGGGGCAGCTCTACCCAGAGCCCATTGATGGTCACCCAGGAGCCCATTCCGAAGACGCAGACCAGCAGGTGCATCAGGAAGGCCATGGCGGTATCTGCCCTGGGCCAGAGGCTTTCTCAGATCAGCCTGCAGCGGGGCTGGCAGAGAAGGACACCAGGTGAGTAATTCCAGCTTCACCACCTAGCAAGATGCTGGGACCTGGGGCCCAGAGTTTTCTCTTATTACTCCCCTTCCTGTGAACAAGCTGGCTTTTTTTTTTTTCCTTTGAGACATAGTTTCACTCTTTTAGTCCAGGCTGGAGTGCAATGGGATGATCTCGGCTCAGTGACCCTCTGCCTCCTGGGCTCAAGTGATTCTCCTGCCTCAGTTTCCCAAATAGCTGGGATTACAGGTGCATGCCACCATGCCAGCTAATTTTGTATTTTTAGTGGAAACAGGGTTTCCCCACGTTGGTCAGGCTGGTCTCGAACTCCTGGCCTCAGGTGATCCGCCTGCCTCGGCCTCCCAAAGTGCTGGGATTACAGTGTGAGCCACCACGCCTGGCCCAAGCTGTCTTTTTATTAGCAGAAAACAAGAGAAGCCTTTCCTAACCGTGATTCATGAAAGAAAAGTTCAATCCGACACACAAAAGCAAACAAAGCAGCTTCTGCAAAAGATACCAACAGCAAGGTCAAAAGTTAAATGAAAACACGGGGAAAACATTTGCCACATAAATCACAGACAAAGGGCTCATCTTCCTTGTCAGGCCTCTGAGCCCAAGCCTGCGCGTGTACATCCAGATGGCCTGAAGTAACTGAAGAATCACAAAAGAAGTGAAAATGGCCGGTTCCTGCCTTAACTGATGATATTACCTTGTGAAATTCCTTCTCCTGGCTCAGAAGCTCCCCTACTGAGCACCTTGTGACCCCCACCCCTGCCCGCCAGGGAACAACCCCCTTTGACTGTAATTTTCCACTACCTACCCAAATCCTATAAAACTGCCCCACCCCTATCTCCCTTCGCTGACTCTCTTTTCGGACTCAGCCCGCCTGCACCCAGGTGAAATAAACAGCCTTGTTGCTCACACAAAGCCTGTTTGATGGTCTCTTCACATGGACGCGCGTGACATTCCTAATATATAAAGAGTTTTTAAAAATCAAGAACAAAGAGACCCCATATAGAAGAGGGCCAAGGATATGAACAATTCAGAGAAAAAGGTACAAATAAGCTTTAAACACATGAAAATATTATCACCTTCATTCACAATAGGAAAACTACTCCAGGTGCCATTTCTCACCATGAGATTGTCCCAAAGCCTGACAAAATGACTCATGTTCAAGGTTATTATAGATTGCGATCTTGTTGGTAATAGCAAGTTATGGGAAATTTTCTCCTGGGTGGCTACCAACAGAGAGGGGGCTAATTAAAGGGACCTGCTGGAATACCACATACCTGTTTAAAGGAATAAGAAATAAGGAAAGCAGATCTTGGTGACTGATAAGGAAAGGTCTCCAGGCTATAATAATAATCTTGAAACAAAATCAAGGCAGGTAAATGGAACCAGGAAAAAGTGTACTGCCTTTTGGTCATAGAAGAGGAGGAAAAACATGTTTTCTTTGCTTGTACTTGCACAAAGCAACCCTTGAAGGACACACAGGGACTGCAGGGATGTTGGTGATGCCTCTGTATATCTTTTTTTTTTTTCTTGTGACAGAGTCTTACTCTGTCACCAGGCTGGAGTGAAGTGGCACAATCTCAGCTCACTGCAACCTCTACCTCCCGGGTTCAAGTGATTCTCCTGCCTCAGCCTCCCAAGTAGCTGGGACTACAGGCGCCCACCACTACGCCCAGCTAATTTTTTGTATTTTTATTAGAGATGGGGTTTCTCCGTGTTAGCCAGGATGGTCTCAATCTCCTGATCTTGTGATCCACCCTCCTCAGCCTCCCAAAGTGCTGGGATTACAGGCATGAGCCACCGCTCCTGGCCCTGCCTCTGTATATCTTTTAATAAGAGTTTTGATTTGTGAACCATGTAAACATATTACCTGATGCAAATATATGGTTACCTGAAATAAGATTTCAATCTGGCTTTTTTTCCTCCTGAAATTATATCACTCTCTACGTGGCCTTTGGAGACCACTTCCTCTAGCCCTCCAGAGCCATTCTGCCATCTGTTTACCCCTTTGTCAGCTACCAGTGGCAGCCCACCTGTGCTGTTACTAACAACTTTCTTCTATCTATCCTTAGTCTGAGCAGTAATATGGGAGATGCCAGGAGTGAGGCTCTGGAGCCAGCTGTTTGAGTTTGACCCTGGCTCTGCTGCTTACAATCTGGGTGACCCTGGGCAAGTGGCTTTGCCTCTCTCTGCCTCATCTCCTCATCTGTAAGTAGGGGATAGTGATAGTATGAACTCCGTGGTTTGTTGTGAGATATAAGGATGCTGGTGAGTTTATGCTGTTTCCAACAGTCCCAGCATAGGGTAAGCACCTCTAAGGGTTACTGATCATTATCGTGAAATGGCAGGTTTGGTGACATCGTTATTTTTGTCTAATTCACATGAGAATTAATACATGACTATGAAAATTTAAAAAAGGAAAAGATTCCCCTACTAGGTATCAAGTGAACTCACCAGTGGTATATGCACCTTTTTGTAGAGACACGCTAACTGGGCCAATCTTCACGTTTTGTAGATGGGAGACGAGGTCCGAAGGGGCAGAGGGGCTCTCCTGGGATCTGGACTGGATCCTCTGCAGCAAGCGGCCTGTCCGGGACTCCTCAGTTCACGCTGCAGTCTTTAACTCCATACTTCTTCCTTCTAGTACAAAGCAGGAGTGTCCGTTGTGGCCACGCCTCACCCAGGAAACTCCTGAATCCTGGCAGCTCCTCCCCACGGTTCCCACACACGGAATTCCCTCACAGGGCTGGGACTTCCTTCCTCATACCTTCACTGAGCGAACCCAATGCTCAGTGGCCTTTCTGGTCACCTCCTTTTCCTCTCTGGGAGGAGCCACTCCTGGGGTGTAACGCAGTCAGATCCCCTAGCAGTCCCGCTCTGCCCCCTCCCTTCTGGGGGCCTCAGACTCCATTCCCTCCCTTAGGAAGCTGACTTGACTAATAGCACAGGTGAGGCCCACTCCAGGCGTGCCAAGAGGACCCAAGGAGGGAGGGGAAGCTCCCAGACAGCAGTGGCACACCTTTGCCTGTGCTGTCCTCCCAGCCTGGAGCACCAGCCCCCTCTGCTGTCCACATCCAAGCTTTCTACAAGACTCCGTCCTCCAGGAGACCTCTGGCTGCCTCACCTTCTCAGGCGTCCTCACCAGGGCCCATGACCCCTTCATTTCAGGTTGTTCTTGTGTGGGTGCATGCAGGCACATACCTTGAGACTGAAGCTTTTTGAGGGCAGGGGCTGCTTGGGAATCTGACATTTTGAAGGTGGAAGGGCCTTTCTCAATGACTTAGCTTAGGATTTGTAAATTGTTAACTCACTGGCCACTGCCAGACAGCAGATATATTACTTTGGTTTGCCCAGTGTGTTTAACAATTTGTTACTGTAATCAGCAGTGGAGGGGATGGCAAGCAACCTTCAGCATTTCTGGCTTCTCAGGAATATTTTGGAAGAAGTGGCCCCCCACTTTGGCCTCTTTCTCTGTTCTAGACTCGGGCCATCTTGGAGCTCTCCCCTGCGGTAACATCTGGAACCAGTTGCCTGGGTTCAAATCCCAGCTTCAACCCTTACAAGCTGAGCAAGTGACCTAACCTCCTGTGCTTCAGAGTCTTCTCTTGCAAAACAGCTATAGGCTGTCAGTACCAACATCAGAACTGTTGCTAGGAACATGCACTAAAGTGCTAAAACTGTGCCTGCCACATAGTGAGGGCTCAATGAACCATCATTATAAGATTACTATTTCAGCAAACGTATCAGTTGCATTCAAAAACATGTAGTTATTGGCCAGGCGCGGTGGCTCACGTCTGTAATCCTAGCACTTTGGGAGGATGAGGCGGGCGGATCCCTTGAGGTCATGAGTCCGAGACTGGCCTGGCCAACATGGCAAAACCCCGTCTCTACTAAAAATACAAAAATTAGCCCAGCATGGTGGCGCACACCTGTAATCCCAGCTACTCAGGAGGCTGAGGCCGGAGAACGGCTCCAACCTGGGAGGTGGAGGTTGCAGTGAGCCGAGATCATGCCACTGCACTCCAGCCTGGGCAACAGAGCGAGACTCCATCTTAAAAAAGAAAAAATAAAAAAAAGGCGCAGTTTTTGTTAGACAAATGGCCACTCAACTAAAGGACTACATTTCCCAGCCTTCTTTGTAGCTGCACATGGCCATGTCATCAAGCACAGGCCAATGAATTCAAATGCGACTTTGAGTAGTCTCCTTAGCCCGTTTCCTGTTTAGAAAAAAAAGTGCAGCTCGTTGCCAGCACTCATTTAATTTTATGTAAACGTGCTATTTGAGGCTGAAGCAAATCTGATTCTGACTGCTGTTTTTTTTTTTTTTCTTTTGAGACAGAGTCTTACTGTGTAGCCCAGGCTGGACTACAGTGGCTTGATCTCGGCTCACAGCAACCTCCGCCTCCCGAGTTCAAGCAGTTCTCGTGCCTCAGTCTCCTTAGTAGCTGGGATTACAGGCGTGCACCACAATGTCCGGCTAATTTTTTATATTTCTTAGTAGAGACGGGGTTTCTCCATGTTGCCAGGCTGGTCTCGAACTCCTGGGTTCAAGTGATCCCCACGCCTCAGCCTCCCAGAGTGCTGGGATTGCAGGCGTGAGCCACCAAGCCCAGCCCTAAATCTGACTGATTTTCAATGTGAAAATAACATGTAAAAACTGTTTTTGAAGTTATTTCTAACCAGAACTAACATCAGACTCATCTATTTCAGAAAAACTGGATTCATCAAACGAATCTTTGGTCAACAACTGTTCAAGAACAATGTTAACATCACACATAGGAATGCTAGGATTTGCTATTTTCAGCGATCGAGAATTACTTTGTTTTGTAAATGGAAATACCACGACTAAAACCAGAATGCTACAAATAGAGTGATGTCTTTTGTTTCCAAAGTCAATATACTAGAGCAAGGCAAAAATAATAATAAAAGCGAGGTATTTTGTGGCAAAGTTATCTTGGGGTAAACACTGCAGTCACAAGTGGGTATTCCTTCTGGCAAACAGGGAAAGAGTTAACAATAAGGGAGTGTGCCCTTCTGCTCTTCCTCCATTTGGCTGTCTGGAATCAGATGTGATGGCCAGAACTCCAGCAACGATTTTGTGCTATGAGGCATGTGGTGGGGGTTAGATGCATACTAGGCTCCTTTGGGATTTTGTGGCAGAGAGCACCCATACCAGCCCTGTTTTGCCTGTGTTGAACTGTTTTGTTTGTTTGTTTAATGTTGTTGTTAAATTGTAAAAGAAACTTCTATGTTGTTTAAGTCACTCTTATTTTATGTACAACAAAAGTACTCAGAGGCTGGGTGCAGTGGCTCACTCGTATAATTCCAGCACTTTGGGAGGCTGATGTTGGCAGATCACTTGAGGTCAGGAGTTCAAGACCAGCCTCCAACTGGTCAACATGGTAAAACCCTGTCTTTACCAAAAACACAAAAAATTAGCCAGGTATGGTGGTGGGCACCTGTAATTCTAGCTACTCGGGAGGCTGAAGCAGGAGAATTGCTTGAACTCGGGATGTGGAGGTTGTAGTGAGCCAAGAGCACGCCAGTGCACTCTAGCCTCGGCGACAAAGCAAGACTCTTGTCTCAAAAAACTAAAAGAAACAAACAGACAAAAACTACTCCATACTAAGTGCACAGAGATACACATTCCAGGATATATATTGAAAGATTATAGTAACCAAAAACTAATGAATACATTTATCTCCTTTACCACCTACTTTCTGACTCTGAAACTTAGGTCCTGTCCCAACCAGGATTTGATCAAAAATCAAAATTTAACAAAAGTAGTTGTTTAGACCCTTGGGGGCAAATGTCTTGCAGAGATATGAAAAAAAAAAAAAAAAGGAGAAGAGAGAAAGAGGGAGGAACAGAGGAACACAGAACCCTCCATATAGCATTTGGTACCAAAAGTATAAATTGAGACCAAGAGTCATTTCATATATCAAAACTCTAATTCATAAAGGAGTCAAAATTGTAGTGACTATCTGTATTCTGAATATTTCCTGAAATAGCCTCAGACATTCCAGGAGAAATGGACAGAAGCACAGTCCAGCAGTACAGGCCTGACTCACCCTTCCAGGTCAAGACAGCAGACGAAGGTGCAAAATAAACAAGGATATAGCAAAAGCAATAAATGATATACCTAGTAAAGAGGGCTAAGTCAGTAGTTAAGGGGAGTAGGCGAATTTGCAGATGATGGTGACCTTTGCCATATGAAAAGCTATTAAACTAATGAGAGTGTCCAGTTAAACATTTACAAACATCAGTAGCTTTCCCACAGAGGGCTGGATGGGGAGATGAGGGCAGACAGGGCAGAAGTAGCCTCACTTTCTTGTATGTTCGACAACTCCTAAGCTCTGAACGCCTAAATCCCTGCTCCCCACAAAGACGAATTCTCTGGTTTTGACCCAGGTGCTACCACGGCTGTGTCACTTGAGGGATGGGATTTGGCTCCGGGGGTCTGTTTCCTTGTCTGGAAACCAGGCACAGTGGGGGTGTGTCCCCACGTGACCCATCTGCCCTATGGCCCTGGCCCACTCCCAAATTATCTCCTTCCTCAAAAGTGAGGTGTGCTTTTGGACCTCGGGGACACAGTGAGGAACAGTCATTAATGTCAATGAAGGGGATGTCTTAGGCAGAGGGAACTACATGTGCAAAAAGGCCCCAGAGAAAAGGAGAGACTCAGAATGGCTGGTGTTCGGAATGTGTTGGGATACTTTTAAAAGATGCATATCTGTATTTTCTGTTTTTTTTTTTTTTGTTGTTGTTGTTTGTTTGTTTATTTTACAGTGACCTTGCAGTTCTTATTTATTCATTTTAACCAGTATTTCTTGGGCACCAACTGTGTGCTCAACCACAATCCCTGCTCTCAGGAAGTTGGAGGAAGCATTCACGAAGCAGAATAAAAAACAGAAACATAGAGCAGGTCAGATGGTGGCAAGGACTCCGGAGGAAAGCAAAGCTCCTGAATGGGGAATGTGCCGCTGTCAAGGAGAGGACATGAAGGGAGTGTGGGAGTGAGCTGTCTGCAGAAAGCACGGTCCAGGGGAGAAAACAGCAAGTGAAAAGGCCCTGGGGTGCGGCCACACCTGCTCTGTCCCAGAAGTGGATTTTGCTGTTCAAAGGACAGCTAGGAGGCCAGTGTGGCCGCAGCAGCGGGAGCCAGGTTGGAGGGGAGGAGACAGGGCAGGTCCCCTGTGGCCCTGTGGTGACAGCTTGGGTGTTTTCTCTAGAGCAAAAAGCTCCGTGAGTGGGCAGAAGAGACCAGCTCTAATCTAGTTTTTAACAGGATCGTGCTGGCTGTTGTGAGGAGAAACATGAGGCGCCAGGGAGGAAGCAGGAGTAAACCTTCGGAGGGTTAGGAAGCTGTAGCAAAAGAGCTAACAATCACCATGACAACAGTGACAACCATAGCTGCCACTCCTCAGCTATTTATTGTGCCAGACCCTGTGCTAAGCTCTTTGAACACATTACCTGTCAAATCTTGTTCCACAATCCTGAGGCTGGCATTATGATTATCTCCATTTTACAGATGAGGAAACTGAGGTTTAAAAGGGAAATAAATTTGCCTAGGGTCATACAGCTGGGAGCTGAGCTTTACATCCAGGCATGCTTGACTGTGGACCCAGCCCTGAGAAAGGCCTCAGGGTGAAGGGGTTCTGAAGGGGCCATGGGGGTCAAGCTGAGCAGGATCTCTTTCTGCTCACAGATGGCCTCCCAAGACTTGGGCCAGAGAAAGAGAGAAATGGGGTACAGGCTCAGGAGAAGCTGAGAGAGGCTCTGAGACATATCTGCTTCCCAAGGATCCAGGACCCCTTATGTGATCACCAGAGACCAGAAACCTAAGGCTTCGCATGAGACAGTTAAGATGCCCCATAATGCGTGGGCGACAGATAGAGAAGCTAGAAGGATCAGTTCCAGGCAAAGGTTTCTCTTTTGCATTCTTGCATCAAAAGCTGTGAGCCCCCAGCCCAAGAAAGTGAAGAGAATTGGGAGTGGGGTTCTGACCAGGGCCAGTGCACCGTCATTGTGTGGGCTGGGCCATCTCCTCCAGGGAGCTCAGGCAGCTTCCATCCCACCCAATGTCCCCCGCCCCCCTCCACATTCTCCTGCCCTCTGTTTTCCTCCATCAAAGTATTACTGACACCAGCTCAGTTACGGGAGTTTATCTGTGTCTATCTGTTGAGCGCTGGTCTCTCCCATTGGAGTGTAATCTCCATGTGAGCGGGGGCTTGTCCTCTCCCCCAGTGCCCAGGTGACCATCTGGCTTGCCACGGGCTGGGCCACCTGAGCTCCTGGCACCATGGCTGGGTTCTCGCTCTGCAGGGATAATCTGCCAGCTGGTAGGCACCTAGCCCTGTGGGCCAGACTGGAGGAAACCCGCCTCAGCTATGAGGGTTGTGTTGGCCAGGGTGACCCCTGGGGCAGTGCCAGGTGGCAGCCTGACACTGGATACATCTCACTCCTGGGCAAGGGTCTGAGCCAATTCTTTCCTGGGTTCCAGGCTCCTGGAGAACTTAGTGAGGCCTGTAGGCGTCTACTTAGGGCCTGGCCTCACCCTCATGAGAGTGGGTAGGAATGGACTGACTTTGAGCCCATGAAGAAGGGAGGCTGAGAGGTCAAAACCACAAAACCCACAGGGAGAGATGGGGGAGATGAAGGGGAGTGAGAGAGAAGAGACTGAGACAAAGAGACAGAAAGAACCGAAAGCTAGAAGCAGAAATGGGGAGAAAGGACAACAGAGGCACAGAGACAGGGAAAAATGAGAAGCTGCGGCTGAGAGGGAGGCAGGGAGGTGCCAGGAGGCAGGAGGCAGCTGGGGCGCTGGGAGCCTGGCCTCAGCCACCCTCACTGTTCACAGCCACATGTAGCAGAAGGCCATCTCTACCTCTTGTTGCTGGGACCTCAGAGTTCCCCTGAAACTCATCCCAACTCAATGTCCCTATTGCACAGGTGGGGAAACCAAGGCCCAGAGAGGAGATAGTGCTTCCCCGAACCCTGCCCCACCCCTGATCTCAGGCTGTGGCAGACATTCAGGCCTGTGCTCACCGGCTGTGCAACCTCAGGTCAGCTGCTCACCCTCTCTAGGCCTTGGTTTCTCCATCTGTGAAAGGGTCTGGGAATGCCCAGCCTTTCTGGGCTCAGCAGACCAGGAAAAAGGGAATGAGATAACAGGCGCTCAGCCTGGCCAGTAGAAGCGGACAGTGAGTTCTCTTCCCCCTTCTCCTCCCTCCCAAGGCCAGGAAGGGCTTCAGGCCTCCCATGGGGCTGACCTTGGTGGAGCAGCCTCCCCCAGGCCAGTTCCCCTCCCCTCCACGTCCATCCCAACTCCCAGCCTCCTTCCCAGGCTCCTGCGGCTTCAGCCTGGTCAAGTTGTTCCGAGATAGCATGGAGATGGCCCTGGGTAAAGTCAGTGGGGGCCCAGTCTTTTTTTTTTTTTTTTTTTTTTTTAAGACAGGATGTCGCTCTGTCACCCAGGCTGAAGTGCTGTGGCATGATCTGAGCTCACTGCAGCCTCAACCTTCCTGGCTCATGCGATTCTCCCACCTCAGCCTCTGAGTAGCTGGGACTATTAACCCATGCCACCACGTCCGACCTGGGTAATTTTTGTATTTTTTGTATAGATGGAGTTTCGCCACGTTGCCCAGGCTGGTCTTGAACTCCCTGAGCTCAAGCGATTCACCTGCCTCAGTCTCCAGAAGTGCTGGGATTACAGGCGTGAGCCATGACACCCAGCATGGGCCCAGCCTTTTGGTCTGGAGGCACCAGGGGTCTGGAATTCACCTGGATGGCTCAGCCTGTCCCGACTCCAACATGCCAGCTGAGGAGGAAACCTTTCTTCCCTCCTGTCCCTTTGATCTTTCACCTGGATGGCTCAGCCTGTCCTGACTCCACATGCCAGCTGAGGAGGAAACCTTTCTTCCCTCCTATCTCTTTGGACTCTCCCGACATGGCAGCCTGAAACTAGGGGAAAGGCCACGGGACACCTGCTGGCTCCAGATAAGTGCCCCTGCCATATCCTGGTCAGTGTCCCATGCTCCTAGCTAGCAGGCAGCCTTGGTAGCTGCAGCTGCACCCTCACAGGCCTGAGCCGCCCCGCTTTGCCCACTTACCTGCTGGTCCAGTTCCCCAGCCGCTCTGCATGGGAGGGGCCAGAGGCAGCTCGTTTTGTATAAAGCTGTCCCCGCCCAGAGCTCGGGGAAAGGCAGGCGGAGGGTGGGTGTGGCTCCCGGCAAGACCAGGCGCCTACTATGTGTCTCTGATCTGCCCTACAGCCCAGCTAGGAGGAGGATCCAGATGGTAGAACTGTATAATAAAGGGCTTGCTTTATTGAGGCTCTCTGCCACCCAGATTTCATGAGGGTTGATCCCCAGTTGACAAAAGCTATGTGCAAACAGTTGGTTCTGGCATCACCCTGAGATCTCCATAATTCCTTTCACACAGGAAGAGAGTTCCCTGGAGCAAAAACAGTTCAAATACTGGTGCTTCAGTAAGTCATGTGGAAAGCGGGGATAATAATAGTGCCCTCTTCATAGGACAGAAATCCTAACTGCCAGTGTGCACTGAGCTGACTCAGTGTCAGGCATGTTCTTGGGGCTTGAGAGAAATTAATGCATTTAATCTTCATGGCCTTTTGGAGAGATGCTATTACTATCCCTATTTTCCAGATGAAGAAACAGGCCCAGAGAAGTCGAGAGCCTTGTGTAGGTCACACACCTTGTATATGGCAGAACTGGTCTCTGATGCACACTGAGCTACCCTGACAAATACTGTAACCACCTGAGGGGTTCTTTCTGCCCACTGCATAAAGAAAGACCATGAGGCTGGCCATGCCACAGGGGAAATGAGTTTGTTCCCAAATCATCTTCAAAGCTTGTAGGTGAGGGGTTTTTCAAAGGCAGTATAGGGGAAGAGTTGGGGGTGGCCAGGTAACAGGTGCTTGCTGCTGATTGGTTGGGGTGGAGATGAAATCATAGGGGGTTGAAGCTGTGCTCCTACAGGCTGAATCGCTTTTGGGGGGGGGGCCACAGGAGCAGGGTTGGCGGTCCTGGTGGAGACATCAGGTTTAGGTGGAGCCATGGGTGTCAAATCTGCAAAAAACCTGGAAAGATGGCGGGGCGTGGTGGGTCATGCCTGTAATCCCAGCACTTTGGGAGGCCGAGGCGGGTGGATTACCTGAGGTCAGGAATTCAGGACCAGCCTGACCAAAATGGCGAAACCCTGTCTCCACTAAAAATACAAAAATTAGCCGGGCATGATGGCGGACACCTGTAATCCCAGCTACTGGAGAGACTGAGGCAGGAGAATTGCTTGAGCCCGGGAGGCGGAGGTTGCAGTGAGCCGAGATCGCGCCGTTGCACTCCAGCCTGGACAATAGAGCAAGACTCTGTCTCAATAAAACAAAAACAAACAAACAAACAAACAAAAAACAAAAAAAAAACACCAACTGGAAAGATATCTCAAAAGGCCAACCTGCAACAGTGGTGTTATTTGCAGGAGTAATTGGGGAAGTTGCATATCTTATAACCTCCAGAATAATGGCTGGCAATCATTTATGTCTACACCTTAGGAGGACCCAGGCTCCTCTTCTTTCCCCAGCCTGATGGCCTCTCATTAACTTTACAAAAGTGGTTGCTCACAGTGCTACGGCCTGTAAGTGCAGGGCCAGGATGTGAATGCAGACTCAAATTGGTGCCTCCATGGATGTAAAACATATTGCACAGATTCTGACACCTAGTAAATGCTCAGTGCATATTGACTTCTACAAATAATTCTGGCCTGCCTGTTGTGTTATTTTCCAAGACATTCATTTACTTAACAAGCAATCAATCACTCTCCAGGCTAATGCTTGGGGCGAGAGGTGAGCAGGCACTAGGGAAGGGGCCAGACCCCTCGCTTAGCAGGCAGGTGTTCAGGAAGTGTTGCCACTGTTGGGGCTCAGGACATACACACCCCCAAAATATGACTCTGGGAAACCAGAATGTGCCACCCCCAAATACACCTCTTTGACATACTTTGAGCTGGTTATTCAGAGAAACTGCAGACACAGGAGTAGCTCTGGAAAGCTATTCTTTGGTAAAAGAAATTTACATCTATCAAGGAAATCTACATTAGTAAAGGTGCCTGTATCAGGAAAAAGGCTGCTCCAGAAGAATTACCCTAGAGACTTTCTTTTTTTTTTTTTTTTTTAAGATACAATTTCACTTTTTTTTGCCCAGGCTGGAGTGCAATGCTGCAATCTCGGCTCACTGCAGCCTCCGCCTCCCGGGTTCAAGTGATTCTCCTGCCACAGCCTCCCAAGTAACTGGGATTATAGGCGCACGCCACCATGCCCAGCTAATTTTGTATTTGTAGTAGAGACAAGGTTTCACCATGTTGGCCAGGCTGGTCCCGAACTCCTGACCTCAGGTGATCTTCTTGCCTCTGCCTCCCAAAGTGCTGGGATTACAGGCTTGAGCCACTACACTGGCCACCAGACAGACTTTTATCTGCACAGGAAGACAACCATTATTTACCATACAATAATTCTTCCCCTCACCCTCCCATAACTGTGTCTCCGCCAATCCCCCAAAGCCCTAAGACCCTATTCCTTAAACTTCAATCATCTGACCCTTCTTTGAGTCTCATATTTTGTGGGATTTCCACGCACAGATATGTAATTAAATATGGTTTCTCTCCTGTTACTCAGTTTCATGTCAATTTAATTCATAGCCCAGCCAAAGAACCATGAAAGGTGGAGGGAAGCCATGTTTCCCTTCTCTATAGTACCAAATACTTTGGATCTGTTAAAAAAAAATTGCAGGACTCTAAATTTATGATGCCAAGGGAGAAGTTAAGCCTTGCAGAGTGTGAGTTATGTGGCTTGCAGGATGGCCACTTTCTTCTTCTTTTTTTTTTTTTTTGAGACGGAGTCTCACTCTGTCGCCCAGGCTGGAGTGCAGCGGCCAGGCTGGTCTCGAACTCCTGACCTCAGGTGATCTGCCTGCCTTGGTCTCCCAAAGTGCTGGGATTACAGGCATGAGCCACTGTGCCTGGCCACAATTTCATACTTATCTCTGCCAAATACTATAAGGTGTCAAAATTTGGCATAGAGGGTACAAAACTATAACTCAATCCAAACAGAATAATCTTTGCTTGTATAATTTTTTAATAATGAAACATCAATATTGGTTTAATAAAGGCAGCTATATCTTGAACTATTTAGTTAAATACCCTAACTTCTAATCCTGTGGCCTTAGGAAGTCTAGTCTACAGACGTGAAGGAAGTTTCTTTAGGGAAAGGACTTATCATCTTTGATATTAAAGAAAAGAGAATTTATATAAAAATAATCTTATATGGTAAATTCTTGTTCTAAAGTAAATGAATTGGTTGTTTAAAAAGAAGGATGTTTACAACGAGTCAGAAAGTTGAGGCATGTCAGAGATTGTGTAAATTGTAAAAATTTTATAAAAGGGAATTTATGCAAGAAATGTTGTACAGTTTAAAAGTGATGAGGGGGCCGGGCACGGTGGCTCACGCCTGTAATCCCAGCACTTTGGGAGGCCAACGCGGGTGGATCACCTCAGGTCAGGAGTTGGAGACCAGCCTGGCCAACAAGATGAAACCCTGTCTCTACTAAAAATACAAAAAATTGGCTGGGCATGGTGGTGGGTGCCTGTAATCCCAGCTACTCGGGAGGCTGAGGCAGAATAGCTTGAACCCAGAGGCAGAGGTTGCAGTAAGCTGAGATTGCACCACTGCACTCCAGGCTGGGCGACAAGAGTGACATTCCATCTAAAGAAAACAAAAACAAGAGCGACTAGGCCTCCTGAATGCTTTATAAAATGCCACCATAACTCTTAACTGTACAACTTGCCTGCTTTGTAGCTGGGTAAGACCTAGCACACATGGAGTTAAATGCTGGAATAAGTCAGACCTTATCTGCACTTCTGTCTAGGTCCTAGGCTCTACATCTAGTACATAATTACAATCTCAAACTGACTAACAAAAGTAAAAGTTGCTAAAAGTTAACAGTGTAACATGTATTGTTCCATAGAAAGAATCTAAGATAAGACTGTAAAGCTGAGGCTAGCCGTGGAATTGTACCATTAAATACCTATGAGTTTCCTCTTGAGGTTGCAAGATAACCTAGGGTTCCCGGCCTCTCAGAAAGGGCATTCTTTGCTTACCACAGATCAGAAGCCCTATACAGGGACTGTGTACACAAAATATAAGGCCAGTTTCCAAGGGCTTTCTTGGCTTCGTAAATCAAGTTTGATTCCTTAAAGGAAAGCATACCATTCCAGTCAAGGCCTTGGTAAAAAAACCAGTTTTTCCAATTGTGTCCTGTTACAAAAGAAAACAGATTCTTATTACACTTGTGCAAATAACTATATCGCCATAACTTAAGAATACTCACAGATAGTTTCCAAATTCTGGAGAAAATCAGGGAGAGAGAAACAAGTATGCTACAAATTTTGTTCATGGGAGTATACTAAATTGTTAAAAGCTGTTAATAGCTCAAAAGAAAAATTTCGAGGCCGGATGCAGTGGCTCATGCCTGTAATCCCAGCACTTTGGGAGGCCGAGGCGGGCGGATCGCCTGAGGTCGGGAGTTAGAGACCAGCCTGACCAACATGGAGAAACCCCATCTCTACTAAAAATGCAAAATTGGCTGGGTGTGGTGGTGGCACATGCCTGTAATCCCAGCTACTCAGGAGGCTGAGGCAGGAGAATCGCTTGAACCCAGGAGGAGGAGGTTGTGGTGAGCCGAGACTGCACCATTGCACTCTGGCCTGGGCAACAAGAGCGAAACTCCGTCTAAAAATAAAATAAAATAAAGAAAAGTTTCTTTGACTTTGAAAAGCAAAACAAAGTATTAGCAATATTTTAAGCAAAATATCAAAAAGATCACTCCAGTCTCCTATTAGTTCAGTTCGTGCAGTTAATTCCTGTCCTGCTTGATATTAATGAACATTTTAGCTAAGAGTCCTAACCATTTTTCCTGTATTCTGATGTCACAATCTCCAAATTTATCAGAAACCTGCATTCAAGAACACCTGTTAGAGCTTTATAGCTGAGTATAAAACCCTTCTAAAGAGGATCAAAACAAGACAACAATTGTTTATGGATGACCAAAAGTTTTAGGGTAGCCATAGTTAAAGACACAATTGACAAGGAAATCTGTTACTTCTGTGGCACACAATAATTTTAACATAACAATTATAATTACTACTGATAACACACACTAAGACATATCAGAATTATAGGAGTCTCCCATAACTTTGGAACACATACCAATAACATATTTATACAAATATGGCCCAAAGAAAGCCAAACATTATTTTATATTTGACAATGCTTCCTGTATGACTTCATACCAAATAAGCCAAATTTTACCTTTATATTAGTGTGTTATTAATGTTAAACTCAATTTTAATGTTTTGATCATAAGGTCAGATTTTCATGGACCCTTTTTTTTTTTTGAGACAGAGTCTCGCTCTGTCGTGGGCGACAGAGTGCAGTGGAGCAATCTTGGCTCACTGCAACCTCCACCTCCTGGGTTCAAGCTATTCTTCTGCCTCAGCCTCCTGAGTAGCTGGGACTACAGGTGCCCACCACCATGCCTGGCTAATTTTTTGTGTTTTTAGTAGAGATGGGGTTTCACCGTGTTAGCCAGGATGGTCTTCATCTCCTGACCTCGTGATCCGCCTGCCTCGGCCTCCCAAAGTGCTGGGATTACAGGCGTGAGCCATTGCGGCTGGCCTATAGACCATTTTTAACCCTTTATAATTTTTGTCAAAGAGCAGGTTAGTGCTTTAAGAAAAACCCATTGTGCTTTTATTTTAATACTCAATTTACAGAAAAACTGGATGATACACCTTTAACTTTAGCCAAGATGTTTACACACAGTATTTCCTTTACAATTAACCTTCCAAAAGTTGCTTAAACCTTCATTTTTATTTTATTCAACTTAAAACAATTCTTTAACCTTTTAATCTAGGTAAAAATCCACATTCTCATGCCTCCTTATAATCTTTTTACCAAAAGTATATGTAAACTGTTTTTTCAATAGTCTTAAATACATGTTACACTGTTAACTTTTTTTTTTAAGGCCTACGTAACAAATAATTATTCTTGGCTGGGTGTGGTGGCTCACGCCTGTAGTCCCAGCACTTTGGGAGGCCGAGGCAGGTAGATCACCTGAGGTCAGGAGTTTGAGACAAGCCTTGCCAACATGGCAAAACCCTGTCTCTACAAAAATACAAAAATTAGCTGGGCGTGGTGGTGGGTGCTTGCAATCCCACCTACTCGGGAGGCTGAGGCAGGAGAATCACTTGAACCCGGGAGGCAGAGGTTGCGGTGAGCTTAGATTGCACCACTGCACTCCAGCCTGGGTGACAAGAGCGAGACTCCATCTTGGGGGGGAAAAAATGGGAAACTGGAGAGAGAAAATTACATTTCAGAAACTATAACACACCTGTTATTAAATTCCAGTGTTGCCTAATGTTGTTCAATTTTTATTACTTTAAATTAAATTCTAATTTTTCTGACTACGAGTTTCCAAAATAAGCTTTGTTTTCTTAAAGCCCTATGAACTGAAAACTAGACGTTTCAGCAGGCACTGCCTCTAAACGCCCCCCAGCCATCACAGGAGGAAACCTCTTCACTGCTGGAGCTGACAACTAATAACTGAGCGTGCCTGGAATCCTTTGCCCCCACATCTAATAAGTCCATGGAACCCAGGGTAATTGAGATGGCATCTCTTACAAGAATCAACTTCTGGGTCAGGTGCGGTGGCTCACGCCTGTAATCCCAACACTTTGGGAGGCCAAGGTGAGTGGATCACTTGAGGTCAGGAGTCTGAGACCAGCCTGGCCAACATGGTGAAACCCCATCTCTACCAAAAATATAAAAAAGTTAGCTGGGCATGGTGGTGCATGCCTGTAATCCCAGTTATTCGGGAGGCTGAGGCATGATAATCACTTGAACCCAGGAGGTGGAAGTTGTGGTGAGCCGAGATCGCGCCATTGCACTCCAGACTGGCGACAGAGCGAGACTCCATCTTAAAAAACGAAACAAAACAAAAAAACAGGAATCAACATCTGGATACATTACACTCGAGTCAAAGCCTGGAAAGCTGAGGAAGCAACCCCTGATAGCCAAAGGAACATCCTAAATATCAGTGTAAAGAAATAGGAAATTTTAAGCTCATAAAAGGTAAGTAACTGAGTGAGAACTACTTATCTTACTCAGTCTCACCCCTACCTCACCAAATACTTTTAGATGTTCCTACCTCTCCTTTTAAGACAAATATTAAAACTTTTTAATGGAAATTATTCACTACACCACCATTGTGGGAACTGCTTTACACACTCTATTATTTGCAGTGGGACTATGTACTACAGCACCCTCAGGATGGAATATCAGACAGAGAATCTCAATTATGGTACCATTTTGCTTAATTATTATCCTCATAGCAGGAATAACAGTTACTAACAGCAAATAACACATGGGCCTTTCCAGACATGTGCCTCTGCCTGTCATTGGGTGAGGAATGTTGTTTCTATATCAACCAATTAGGCCTAGTAAGAGGTGCTGTTGAAAAACTTAAGGAAAGGGCTATACCAAAACAACCAAATAGATTCTTGGTTTAGGAACAAAATCATAGCATGGGTCATCCCATTCCTGGGACCTTTCCTAATAATATGCCTAGGACTAATGTTCTTACCCTGCCTAATTAACCTTTTTCAAAGATTTTTAACTGACAGGATCATGGCCATTTCACAGACAACTACCCAAAAACATCCACAGACAGCGTTACTGCTACAGTTAATCCAAGACCAGAAAACTCTGTCCCCTCATCAGCAGGAAGTAGCCAGAAAGAACACCCTGCCTTTCATCCTTTTTATAACTATAAGGTCTGGATTGACAGAGCAGGAGCATTGCCATCTTGGACAAGCACTGCCATTCTAAAGTTCCCCTTGATCAAAAACCACCTAAATCCAAAGGGCATCAGCCTAATGGCTAAGGTCAGCATGACCATAAACCACAAATGACATCTCTGACCAGAAACATTCCAACCATAAGTTAAAGCCCTCCCCGACCAGAGACGTGCCAGCCCCAAGATAACCTCCCCTCCAGGTGGAGAGATGTCAGCCCCAAGATACCGTCCCTTCCAACCAGAGACATTCCAACCCTCAATAGACTTCTCCCCTACACAGGAACATTCCAAGCCTGTGATAAGCTCTCTTACCCAGAAACCAGTAAATACCCTTAGTATGTAAGAGAGAGCATTCCTGACTGAAATTGGACAGAGGCCCCTCTCAGGTTTATTCTTCAAAATAAACCTGTCTTTGACTGTTGAGCCTCTTTTCATGTTTCTTTCCTCTTTCTTGAACTCTTACAACACCTTTGTTAGGCGCAAATTTTCAGTGCTGCAAAAGAAATAGCACTCGAACATAAATTTAATTTTCTCAGCAAGGCAATTTTACTTCTATAGAAGGGTGTGACTTGTGGATGGAACAATGGTGAGAGCACACCTGAACAAGGGAGGGGAAGGGGTTTTTATTCCTGATGCAGGTAGCCCCTACTGCTGTGTGGTTCCCCTGTTGACTAGGATTGGACCACACAGTCTAAGCTAATTCCGATTGGCTGTTTTAAAGAGAGCAGGGGTACGAGTCGGAGTAGCGGAGTGAGTAGTTTGGCGGGAAGGACAGTTAGGAACAGGTGACTAAAGGTGACTCAGGTCAGTGCAGGTGACCAGGGGTGACTCAAGAAGGAGCAGGTGATCAGGGGAATAGATGTGAACTACTGATTAGAACTGGTGGAAAAGGTTGTTTACTGAAACTAGGGGCAAGGAGGCAAAGAGAATGAGAAAGTTAAACTTTAAAATGGAGAACAAAGAACAGGGGACCTGAATATACTCATACATTGGTTCCTTGGAGAGGATCTCAGAACTCATTGTACTTAACAATTTACAGGCTGAAACATTTGAAAAGGAATTTGTTATATCCTACAATTTCCCCCTTTCAATTTTCATAGTACTTCCTCTTCAAACTTTTTAAACATGTCTTGGCTTAGCTGCTCGACTTAATCCTCTAAAAGAAAAAGCTTATCTGAATAAGGTGGAGGTGAGTTAAGGAAGATTTTAGTAAGTGCTGCTTTTATAAGTCTTTGCACTAGCCCACAGATGCATGGTATGACATAACACCTAACAAGAATGAGTACAGCTATTACGGCTGCAAGAGAAGTAAGAATTGAGGCTGTGATTTCTTTCCATTTACTGAACCCCCTTTCTAGCCACCCTGAGAAAGGGTTATCGACTCCAGAATTTTAGCTAGTTCATTGGATAGAGTGGTAAGTCTTTATAAGGCCCTTGTTATGTTCCCAGTGTGGGCAGTGTTATTTGGGATAAAGGTACAACACTGAGTTTTAATCATAATACAAACACCACTTTTTCTGCTAATATCATATCTGGTGCCATTCTGTTTTCCCAGGCCATCTGGCTAGTGGGCCCCAATTGTTCTGCTATCCCTTTGACAGCATCCCTGGTGTAATTAATAAACTGCTGCTGATTATAATAGATGTAATTTATCCAGTCTACATTTTTATTAATCGTCACCCATGAAAATATTGACTTAAATCCTGCAGCTATTTGATCTCGGGCTTTAAATTCATCTGGTACTCCTAGTGGAACTCCAGTAATGTTTATATAAACATGGGGGTCAAACGACTCATGTAAGGCACTTCTTTTACAATTTTCTTTTTTATCATGTTGACGGAATGCTAGAGTGAAAGGGATGGCCAATTGGACTAGAGCACGAGTGCTGCTCTAATTGCTTGGCAGAGTATCCAGCAATAGTGCCCCTCAATGCCACCACACACCTGCTCAGGGATGAACAAGGGCAGACTGATGGGTAAGCTCTTGAAAAGGCTTGGTTTCACCGCACCCTGTTAAGTCTCCAAGGAATGCTAACTTTTCCCCCTGCCGTGAAAGGGACAGGTGAACTTAACATCAGGGGCTGGAGGCTGGATGGCCCTCCGGGCTGACCCACAGGGCTCTTGACCTCGGGGAAGAGCAGTGAAAGCGAACAGCAGTGAAAGAGTTTTGCCTGACTCATTGCCCCGGCTGTGGGGTTCTGGAAGAGAGCTACCATACAGCTCATGCCCTGTCCATGAGAGGACCACTCGAGGGGAAAGGGGACAATTTGGGTCTCTGGCCTGCCTGTCGCACAAGCAGTCACTTTTGTTTAGCATGCGAACAGAATATTTAATCCATTTCAGCCAAGCATTTACATCCTGGTACTCTGTTTCAATTGCTATAGTTTGTTTTAAATCTATAACTTCTACAACAGCTACTTTGGTTTTATCATTGGGTATATAACGAAAGAAGATCTGGTTAGTGGAGAACTTAGGAGTGGGAGAAGGGGGTGCAGGAGTTGAGGAGGCAATGAAGCACATTTCAAAGGATCCTCTGGGGTCCTTCCCTGAGACTTCTGCTCCTATACCATAGAAACGGTACTCTGGGGAGCAGAGGTGGTAATCTGTACTGGATTACATTGGTTCATCTGACAATGGGGTGGTCCATCCTTGCTCCTTGGTAGTCCATAAGCCATTAGACCAGCTAAAAGTTCTGTTCTAGGAGGGCAAGATTCCTAGTTCATACTGGGACCATCATCAATATCTTCCCAGACTAACTGATCCCAGTTAACAGATTTTCAGTCTGAGGAGAGCCAGGAAGGACAAAGATACTTTTCTGAAGGGGAGAGTTGCCTCTGGTTTGGCAGATCTCCACAGGTCATCCCAAGGCAAGCATCAAAAGTAATAGTTTGGGGCGAACTTGTTACATAAAGAACGAGAAGACTAGCAATAGAAGGGGAAAAGAAAGAGATGGAATGTAAGAGGATCAAACCCGTTTTAGCTTTAGCTTGGTTGGAGTTGGCCCTGGAATAGCTGTCCATGATTCTGGAGGGGGTGGTGCTCTTTTGACCTAGGTGTGATGAGTCCATCCTCTTTCTGCTGTTTGAACTGTGGTCTCGGTGGTTAGAAGCAACAGGTAGGGTCCTTCCCAAGCCAGTTCGAGTTTCCCTTCCCTCCAACTTTTGACAAGGACACAGTCCTTAAGCTGATGTTGGTGTACTGGAAACTGTAGGGGTGGTACCTGTTCTAAAAGACCTTTAGTTCTGAGGGAAGAGAAAGTGGAAAATAAACCAAGTATATAATTTCTGAGAAACTCATCTTTTGTTTTGAACATAGGAATGTCAGCAGTGGAGTGTAAACAGGGCAACCTACACAACATTTCATAAGGGGATAAGCCAACATCTCTCTGAGGAGCAGTTCAGACTCTCAAGAGGGCAATGGGAGAGCATCTATCCATGGCAACCGAGTCTCTAAGACTAATTTGGTTAGGTGGCCTTTTTTTTTTTTTTTTTTTTTTTTTTGAGAGGGAGTCTCGCTCTGTCGCCCAGGCTGGAGTGCAATGGTGCCATCTGAGCTCACTGCAACCTCCACCTCCCGGGTTCAAGTGATTCTTCTGCCTCAGCCTCCCTAGTAGCTGGGACTACAGGCACGCGCCACCATGCCTGGCTAATTTTTGTATTTTTAGTAGAGATGGGGTTTCACCATATTGGCCAGGCTGGTCTCGAACTCCTGACCTCGTGATCCACCCGCCTTGGCCTCCCAAAGGGCTTTTTTTTTTTTTTTTTGACAGGGTCTCTCTCCGTAGCCCAGGCTGGAGCGCAGTGGCGCGATCTCGGCTCACTGCAAGCACCGCCTCCCGGGTTCACGCCATTCTCCTGCCAAAGGGCTTTTTTAAAAAATAGTTTGGTTCATTCTTTCCACTCTTCTTGATGAAGGTAGGTGCCAGGGAGTATGATATTCCCATGTTATATCCAGTATCTGGGCTAATTTCTTAATGACATGTACAGTGAAATGAGTCTTATTATCTGAATCAATGTTTTCTATTAATCTAAACTTGAGTATAAGATTTTCAACTAATGCCCTGTCTATGTTATTATCAGTTGTACTTGAAAAGGAAATAGCTTCTATCCAATGAGTAAGGTGATCTACTATACTAATAAATACTTCAGATGATCAGTTGGAGGCATCTCTGTGTAGTCAGTCTGGATACTTTGGAATGGCCTTAAGCCTGGACTCCTTCCCCCAAGGGGTAATGTTTTACTAAACAACTGTCTGTAACCTGTTTGGCCAGGGTATAAATCCTATGCACCCATAAACTCTGATGAATGTGTCACACGAGGCTTGGGGCCTCCAATGGGTCCTTTAATGCAGTTGGAATAAGACTTCCCTCATAAGGGGTTTGGATAACATTTCTCTCTGGTCTAGCAATATCCATTTTCCTTCTGAATTCTCTTTAGCACCTATTTTTATTAGTTTTTAAACCAAAGAAAGCCAAACACCATTTTATATTTGATAATGCTTCCTGTGTGATTTTATACCAGATAAGCTAAATTTCACCTTTATATTAGTGTGCTATTAATGTTAAACTCAATTTTAATAAAATCTTGTAGACATATTTATTCAATTTTAATGTCTGACCATAAGGTAAAATTGTTATAGACTCTTTCTAACGCTTCATAATTTTTGTTAAAGAGCAGGTTAGTACTTTAAGAAAAACCTGTTGTGCTTTTATTTTAATGTCCAGTTCACAGAAAAACTGGATGACACCCCTTTAACTTTAGCCAATATGTTTACACACAGAAATTCCTTTACAATTAACATTTCAAAACTTGCTTAAACCTTCAAAACAATTTTTTAACCTTTTAATGTAGGTAAAAATCCACATTCTTATGCCTTCTTATAATCCTTTTACCAAAAGTATATTTTACTTTCCTTACACGCCTTGAACATAAACTGTTTCTTCAATAGTTTTACATTCAGGAGGCCTAATTACTTTTAAATTATACAACATTTCTTGCATAAATTCCCTTTTATAACATTTTCCACGACTTTCACAGACCATCTTTGACATGACTTAAATTTCTGACTTGTGAACATTCCTTTCTTTAAACAACCAGTTAATTTATTTTAGGATGAGAATTTACCGTATAAGATTCTTTTTACATAAATTCTCCTTTTTTCTTAATGTCAAAGATGATAATTGTTTTTTCCCAAAGCAAACTTCCCTCATGTCTGTGGACTAGACTGCCTAAGGCCACAAGATTAGAAGTTAGGATAATACATGTTACACTGTTAACTTTTAGCAAATTTTACTTCTGTTGAAAACCTTGTAAGTTTGGAATTTTAATTAAAGGAAGGCTTTTTTGGTGTCCGGGGACATGGACAATAGTTATTTTTTTGGCAACTGAAGGTTATTTAATACTTGGGTGATTAATTCCTCGTGGACCGGGTCTTGACCTTTGCTATTAATAAGACCTGGTTCAGTCCAAATTTTTCCACATGCATGAGCCACTCCAAAGGCACACTGAAAATTGGTATAGATGGTTCCTTCCTGGTTCTGTAAGTACTTTAAGGCTTGGCTGAGTGCAAACAGCTCACACGTTTGAGCAGACCAATTATTAGGCAATTTTCCTAACTCTATCTCTACACCTTTAACCATTGTTCCCTATTTCTCATTCAAACTTGGACATAACGGTATGTGAAAAAGAGCCTCTTGTGACTGTTACCTCTTTACAATGGAATGTTAAGCAACCCCTCAGAAAGTAGGGAGTAGCAAATCAAATCTTTGTAACTACATTTCAGCCTTTGCCGGTTGAAATGTCAGAGCCCCGGCATCAGAAAGTGGTCAACTCAAGGGCTGATAAGAAGAATTTACCAACAACAGTATAGGTTTGAAAAGTAAAGTTTTATTAGAAAGAAAGAACATTGCAGAAGAGTGCAGCGAGGTGCCTCAGCAAGAGGGGACTGAGAGGGCTGTGGTGGATATTCCTTAGGCGCATATATGAACCTTAAGGCAAAAGCTTGAGGGTAATTTGGAGCATACTAGCCACGTAGGTTATGATAAATGGTTACATTTGTAGTTATTTTGGTGCCTTAATGTCAGCAAGGATTGCACAGTGAGTTTCGCATAGAAATTCTGGTTACTACAAAATTTTTGAAAGACCCCTGGAACCAGATGCCAACTTTAGATATGTCGATGAAGAGTCAAACTCTGTAAAATATTTGAAGAGATTTATTTTGGGCGAAATACGAGTGACCATGGCCCATGACACAGCACTTAGGAGATCCTGAGAACATGTGCCCAAGGTGGTTCGGGCGCAGCTTGGTTTTATACATTTTAGAGAGGCACGAGGCATCAATCAAATACATTTAAGAAACACATTGGTTTGGTCCAGAAAGGTGGGACAACTCAAAGTGGGAACTTCCAGACTATAGGTAAATTTAAACATTTTCTGGTTGACAATTGGTTGAATTTGTCTAAAGACCTGGGATCAATAGGAGGGAAATGTTTAGGTTAAGATAAAACATTGTGGAGACCAAGGTTCTTTTGAAGTCTTATAGTGGCTGTCCTTAGAGACAATAGATGACAAATGTTTCCTATTCAGACTTTTAAAAGCTGCTAGACTCAAAAAAAAAAAAAAAAAAAAAAAAAAAAAGGCTGCCAGACTCTTAGTTAATCTCAGAGGGCCTGGAAGAAAAAGATCTAGCTATATTAATAGAGATTATTTACAGATGCAGATTTCCCCCCACAAAGGACAGCTTTGCAGGGCCATTTCAAGATATGGCAAAGAAACATGTTTTTGGGTAAAATATTTTTGCTTTCTTCTTTGTCACATAATGTTATGCCAGAGTCAGATTGGAAAGCAAGTCAGATATATAGGTTTAAATAAAACCCATCTGATGAGAATTTATGGTTTGTAGGGCATGACTCCCCAGACCCCTTAGATAGGAATTTCAGCAAAATAAAAAGATCAGAGCTTAGTCCTCATAATCAAGAAATAACCATAAAAATGGGCAACCCTATGGAGTAGCCATTCTTTTATTCCTTTACTTTACTAATAAATTTTCTTTTGCTTTGCACTGTGAACTTGCCCTGGATTCTTTCTTGTGTGAGATCCAAGAACCCTCTTGTGGGGTCTGGATTGGGACCCCTTTCCGGTAACGATTATACTTCTAAATTCCTCAGATAAGGAGTTTTTGTCTCGGGCTGCTTCAGGGTCACCAGGTGATTTTTGCTCTCCTCACCCCTTTGTTCAGCTTCTCTGTTTTTGCCTATGTACACAACTCTCAGATTTGGCCACTGGGGAGAGCAAAGTTATACCTGGTGACCATCAAGCAGACCATTCAGAGACAAAACTCCTTATCAGAACTCCTTATTCAGAAGCAATTAGACTTCCCTATTATCTAAAGCAGGCATCTCATTCCAGGCTTCTTTCCCCCAAATTTATAAGTAACTAGAATTTCTATGCATCTCTGGAATGCATGCATATCAAAACTCACGGTGCTGAAAATTTGCATCTGTAAAGAATCTCTATTAACATAGCTGGATCTTTTTCTTCCAGGCCCTCCCAATCCTGAAGAGATTAACTAAGAGTCTAACACCTTTTGATGGTCTGAATAGGAAACATTTGCCATCTGTTGTCTCTAAGGGCAGCGAACATAAGACTTCAAAAGAACCTTGGTCTCCACAATCTTTTATCATAACCTGAACATGAGTCTCTTGCTGATATTAAGGCATTGAAACCACCTTTGCAAAATTATTACAGACAGCATCATTGCAGGAATCCAGGACACTGGAGTAGAGGATGTTCCATACCTTTGGGTTACAAGCCACCCCCAGGACCTTGTCCTCATTGCAAACAAGAGGGTCATTGTGATATGGAAGGGGGGCAGGGGAGTGCTGGGTACAGAAATGCAGGGTTCCTGGTGAGGGCTCCACCCTTGGGCCTGTGCCCACAGACCTAAGTAAGAACAGGCACTCCTGTTTTCATGCCTGAATGTTGTATTTTCCAAGACCACTCTGGCCCACCACATCCCCTTCCTGTGTCCATATTGTTAAATATGAATTCTAAATTTCTCTTCAAAGAATTAATATGTCAGTATGTTCAATTCTTTGACTTCTGCTTTTAAATTTAACTTCCTCGTAAAGCAACCTTTTTCGATTACCTGCTCCACCCTGACTCATTCCGATTACCTGCTCCACCCTGACTCTTGCAGGTTACTTGCTACCTGCTCCACCCTGACTAATTATTCTCCACCCTGCATAACCATTTTTTTTTCCCGCCAAAGCACTCATCCTGTCACACTCTTTAAATCTGCCAATTGGAATTAGTTTAGCCTGTGCAGTCTAACCCTAGCCAATAGGGGAACGACACAGCAGCAGGAGCCTTGTGCATTAGGGATAAGAACCCCTTTCCCTCCCTTGTCCAGGTGTACACTCACCATTGCTCTACCTGTGAGGGTGCACCCTTCTATAGAAGTACCTTGCCTTGCTGAGAATTAAAAAGAAAATTTTATATTCGAGTGCTATTTCTTTTGCGGCACTGAAACTTTATATGTAACAATTTGGGGGCTCGCCCTGATTACATTTCCCTCTGGGGCAGTCTCTGGTTCTCTCTTGTGAGGAGCGCTCCGCCCCCTGTGGCGGCCTCAGCCGGGAGAAATCAGAACCCACCCAGTGCGAGGAACAACCCGAGCTGTCAGCAACAGGGGGGAAGAAAACTGGCCGGCAACCTAGCTTAAAGAATCCTCACATACTGCAGCGACGACTCTGCGCACAGAGCAAGGAAGGAGAAGCCGCGGGAGCTGGTAAAGTATTTCCTTGGTGGTCGGGACCAAGGTAAGAAAGCCACGGGGGTGGTGGGCGGTGAAGTACTCCTTGGTCAGGGTGGCTTAGAGGTTAAAAAGAGGTGAGACATCCCCATTGGCGGAGATTGAACCTCACACAAACCTCCAGTAGTAGAAAAGGCAAGAAATTTCCAGTGGGGAAATTGAGCCTCACCCCAAAAGGTAAGAAATTTCCAGTAAGGGAAAGTGAACCTTGAACCTTATCCCAAAACCATCAAGATGGGAAATATCCCAAGCAAGACAGGGAGCAAGGGGGATAAACATGGTAACAAAGATATCCCTCCAGATGGCCCCCTAGGTCTCATGCTAAAACACTGGAAGGATAATGAAAGGATACACATAGGAAAAAGCAACAAATGGTAAAATATTGCTGTTTTATTTGGAGTCAGGGACCCATCCTCAGTCCCTCAATCTTCTGGTCAAAGTTTGGGTCAAATGAGAATGTAATGTGTCAGCTTCTAATCCGATACGTTAATGATAAAAGTCCAGTGTCTCAAGAAGAACTAGGCTATGCCCTTTGTTGGAGGCAAGGACCTGCCCTCCTATTTCTCTTAAAAATAAATAGGGAAGAACCCAATCTGGCACCTCAAAATGAAAAGTCAGAGGAGCCAGCTCTCATGCCTAAAGACTCCAGTGCTGCATGGTATCCCCTAGACCATCTTCCCCCACTCAGTGTCCCCAAACTTTCCCCTCAGACAGCCACTGCCACCTCAGATCACCACTGCCACCTCAGATCCTGTTCCAAATTCCCCCTCTACTCACGCTATCCCTCCTCCTTATAACCCTGACTGTTGGGAATTACCATCCCACCAGCCTGTTCTCTCCCAACCTAAAGACCCCTCTCTAAAAAGACTCCAGCGTGAGGTAGAACAATGTAAAAAAGATATTCAGAATTTCCTATTTCCCTCCGTACCTAAGAGGTCAGCCCCTACCCTCTTCCCTTTGAAAGAGGTACCACAAGTTGGGGGCGGGGGGGGGGGCATTGACTTTGTAAATGCTCCCTTAATCAGTTCAGAAGTCCAGAATTTTACAAAGGAGCTTAAACTGCTGCTGGACGACCCTTACAGAGTGGCAGACCAAATTGACCAATTCTTAGAACCTCAGTTATACACTTGGGTCAAGTTAATGTCCATCTTGGGCATCCTCTTTTCAGGGTAAGAAAGGAGTATGATTCTTAGGTCTGCTATGGTAGTTTGGGAATGTGAGCACCCTCCCAATGAAAACGTTCCTACCACGGACCAGAAATTCCCCGCCCAGGACCCCCCATGGGAAAATAACAATGCAGATCACCGGGAAAATATGCAGGACCTAAGGGAGATAATAAAAGGAATTCAGGAATCAGTACCCTGAACCCAAAATCTTTCTAAAGCATTTGATATACAACAGGAAAAAGATGAAGGGCCTATGAGATTCCTAGACAGACTGAGGGAGCAAATGAGGCAATATGCAGGCCTCAATTTGGATGATCCCCTTGGGCAAGGAATGTTGAAACTCCAATTTTTCACTAAAAGTTGGCCAGACATTTGAAAAAAAAAGTTACAAAAGATAGACAATTGGGAAGACCATCCCTTAAGTGAGCTTCTCAGGGAAGCTCAGAAAGTGTATGTGAAAAGGGACAAAGTAAAACGAAACAAAAGACAAAACTTATGTTTTTCACCTTCCAACAGATGGCTCCAAACCCAGGTACTTCTAGATAGAGTTTCCAGGGAGCCAGAAACTATAAAGGGTCCGAATCCTCTTTTAAAGAACCCCAGCCTCCATCTGGAGGACCAGGGTCCTTGTCTACCAAGCCCCCTAAAGAGTATGGGGGAGAAGGGTTAAAGAATCCCAGAACTAAGGGGAGGAAGGACAAAATAGGTGCTATAGATGTGGAAGAGCAGACCACTTCAGGAGAGGATGTTCTGAACTAAGAAAGGAGAAAGAAGCCCTTTCACTCATGACTTTCAAGGAAGAATAGCGGGGTCAGGGGCTCTGTCTCTTTTATCTTGAGTCCCACCAGGAGCCCTTGATAAATTTGGGGGTGGGACCTAAACATGAGCTTATCACCTTTTTAGTTGATTCGGGGGCTGCTCGCTCCTCTGTTTCCCCCCATCTAATGTTGTCTCCTTCTTAGAGGAACTTTTAGTCTCCAGGGTAAAAGGTGTAGGATTAAGAGCAAAAATTTTAGAAAGCACTGAAGTTAGATACCAGGATCGCTCAGCTTATATTCAGTTCTTGTTTATCCCTGAAGCAGGAACTAATTTACTGGGGAGGAATTTAATGTTAAAGTTGGGCATAGGTCTACAAGTCAGCCCAAGAGGATTCCTCACCTCATTAAACCTACTCACCACCGCAGATGAAAAATATATTAATCCTCATGTCTTGACCAAAGAAGGAAACCAAGGGAAACTCTAAGTCCCTCCGATCCACATCAAGCTAAAAAACCCAGGGGAAGTAGTAAGAAGGAAGCAATACCCTATTCCCCTAGAAGGTAGGATAGTGTTGAAACCTATAATTGAAGGCCTTATTTAGGATGGGCTTCTTGAGCCCTGTATGTCTCCTTATAACATCCCAATCAAGAATCAAGAAATCAAGACTGCTACCAGCCAGTCAAGAAATTAGATGGGTCATACCAGCTAGTACAGGACCTTAGAGCTATCAACCAAATAGTCCAGAGTACCCACCCTGTTGTCACCAATCCTTACACCATTCTTAGCAAGATTCCATATAATCATCAATGGTTTACTATAATAAATTTGAAGGATGCTTTTTGGGCATGTCCCCTGGCTGAAGATAGCTGAGATATATTTGCTTTTGAGTGGGAGGATCCATACTCAGGGTGGAAACAACAATATCGATGGACCGTCTTGCCCCAAGGGTTCACAGACTCCCCTAAACTTTTTGGCCAAATTTTAGAAGAAGTACTAGAAAAAGTTGTCATCCCAGAACAAATATGCCTTCTTCAGTACCTGGATGACATTCTTATATCTGGTGAAGATCTAGAGAAGGTAACTGACTTCTCTACACATATTCTTAACCATCTGCAGTTTGAGGGGCTATGAGTCTCAAAAAGAAAGCTTCAGTATGTAGAGCCTGAAGTTAA
The DNA here is from genome assembly GCF_000001405.40 of Homo sapiens. Taxonomy (NCBI): domain Eukaryota; kingdom Metazoa; phylum Chordata; class Mammalia; order Primates; family Hominidae; genus Homo; species Homo sapiens. Next base: position 795,674 of record NC_000020.11, read on the forward strand.
ATATTTAGGCCACTTAATAAGTGTAGGCAAGCGAATAATAGGGCCTGAATGAATTGAGGGAATCGTGTCCCTACCCTTGCCTCAAACTAAACAAGAACTCAGGAAATTTTTAGGGTCAGTCAGACACTGTCGCTAATGGATTGACTCATATACACTGCCCCGTAAACTGTTCTATCAAAAACTTGCCCAGGAGAAGCCTAACCGTCTCCTGTGGACTTCTGAGGAAGTTGATCAAATCGAGAGGTTGGAGGAAAGGCTCATAACTGCCCCTGTTTTAGGCTTACCCTCCCTAGAAAAGCCATTCCACCTTTTTGCTAATGTGGACAGTAGGGTACCTTCGGGAGTGCTGACTCAAGAACACAGAGGCCGCCAGCAGCCCGTAGCCTTCCCATCAAAGGTCTTAGACCCAGTCACTTGTGGATGGCCTCAACGCATCCAGTCCATCGCTGCTATGGCAATACTAGGTGAGGAAAGCAGAAAATTAACCTTCGGAGGAAAATTGACATTAAACACGCCTCACCAAGTTAGAACTATCTTAAACCAGAGAGCAGTGAGATGGCTTACTGACTTGAGAATCTTAAAGTGTGAGGCCATTCTGTTAGAAAAGGATGATTTAACATTGACCACTGATAATTCACTCAACCCAGCAGGTTTCCTAACAGGGAATCCACATCTAAGGAGGGAACACACATGTTTAGATTTAATTGATTACCATACAAAGGTTTGACCAGACCTGGGAGAAACCCCCTTCTGGACTGGACGGCACTTACTCATAGATGGTTCCTCCCAGGTGATTGAGGGAAAAAGACACAATGGGTATTCAGTGATTGTTGGAGAAACTCTTGTAGAAATAAAGTCAGGAAAATTGCCCAACAGTTGATCTGCTCAAACGTGTGAGCTGTTTGCACTCAGCCAAGCCTTAAAGTACTTACAGAACCACATCTATACAGATTCCAGGTATGCCTTTGGAGTGGCCCATACATTTGGGAAAATTTGGACTGAACGAGGTCTCATTAATAGTAAAGGTCAAGACCTTGTTCACAAGGAGCTGTTCACCCAAGCATTGAATAATCTTCAGTTGCCGGAAGAAATAGCTATTGTCCATGTTCCCGGACACCAGAAAAGCCTTTCTTTTGAAAGTTGAGGAAATAACCTAGCAGATCAGGTAGCCAAGCAGGCTGCTGTGTCTTCTGAAATGCGTGTTTTTCACTTAACTCCCTACCTCCCTCCTCCTACCATAATCCCCATTTTCTCTTCCACCGAAAAAGAGAAACTAATAAAAATAGGTGCTAAAGAGAATTCAGAAGGAAAGTAGATACTGCCAGACCAGAGAGAAATGTTGTCTAAACCCTTTATGAGGGAAGTCGTATCCCAACTACATCAGGGGACCCATTTTGGGCCCCAGGCCATGTGTGACGCAGTTCTCAGAGTTTATGGTTGTATAGGAATTTATACCCTGGCAAAACAGGTTACAGATAGTTGCTTAGTATGTAAGAAAACTAATAGACATACTATAAAATGATTACCTCTCAGGGGAAGGAATCCAGGCTAAAGGCCATTCCAAAGTATCTAAGTTGATTACACAGAAATGCCTCTGATAGATCATCTAAAATATTTACTAGTGATAGTAGGCCACCTCACTCCCTGGGTCGAAGCTATCCCCTTTTCAAATGCAACAGCCAGTAATGTAGTTGAGGCCCTAATTGAAAATATAGTACCCAGGTTTCGACTAACGGAAAATACTGACTCAGACAATGGAACTCATTTCACCACACACATTATTAAAAAGCTATTCCAAAATATTAGACATTAGATGGGAACACCATACTCCCTGGCACCCACCCTCATCAGGGAGAGTAGAAAGAATGAATTAGACTCTAAAGAACCACTTAACCAAATTAGTCTTACAGACTTGGTTGCCATGGACCAAGTATCTTCCTATCACCCTGCTGAGAATTTGAACTGCACCATGGAAAGACATTGGTCTTTCTCCTTATGAGATGCTCTATGGATTACCTTATTTGCACTCCACTGTTGATATTCCTACCTTTGAAACAAATGATCAATTCCTTAAAAATTATATACTTGGTCTATGTTCTACTTTCTCCTCTCTTAAAACTAAAGGTCTATTAGCACAGGCACCACCCTTGGAGTTCCTGGTGCATCAACATTAGCCTGGGGATCACGTCCTCATCAAGAGCTGGAAAGAGGAGAAGCTTGAGCCAGCCTGGGAAGGTCCTTACTTGGTGCTCCTAACTACTGAAACCGCAGTCCGCACAGCAGAGAGAGGATGGACTCACCACACCCAAGTCAAGAAAGCACCGCCCCCTCCAGAGTCGTGGGCCATAGTCCCAGGGGAAAACCCTACTAAACTAAAGCTAAGAAGAATTTAACTCCCTTTCATCTATTCTATTACTCTTTTTTCTTTCCTCACTCTATTGCTGACCATATAGTTATTAACATAACCAAGTCAATTTCACCTCAACTATTGCATTTGATGCTTGCCTTGTTATATCCTGTGGGGATTTGTCAAGCCAAAGAAAGCTCTCTACTTCAGATACCTCTGTCCCTCCTGGCTCTCCTCAGACTAGGCATTAGTGAATCGGGACCATTTAATCTGGGGAGATTTCTATAAAGATCCCAGTGGCAACCAGGAGTCTTCCCCCAGTGATGTAGAGCTTTTAAGCCATAGTTGGTCCAAAGTTCTGTGGACCATTAAAGAGCAAGGATGGATTGCCCCAACCAGTTTTTGTAATTTCCTAAATTCATACATTCGTTTTACTAAAGGGACAGTGCCCACTAACTCTCAGCTAAACCAGTGCAACCCTATACAGGTTATTATTTTGAGCCCACAAAATTCTTCCTCTTTTCTAAGCTGGTTCCCTTCTTTAAGCCAGTTTTATGGTATGGGGGCTGAAGTTTCAGGGACAGACCCTATTGGATTCTTTGAAATGCACTTCTTTGATCCCCTGCTGTCTGCACCTGCCTCTGAGCCTTTTTCCAAAACCTCTCACAACGGAACCATTGTTCCTCCTCTATCTAACGACAAGGCCAAGATAGCGATGGTAGAAGTTAAAGACTTAAAACAAACTGGCAATTGAGACAGGATACCAAGATGTAAATGTTTGGTTGGAATGGATCAAATATTTCATCCACACGTTAAACAAAAGCAATTGTTATGCTTGTGCGCACAGCAGGCCAGAGGCCCAGATTGTCCCCTTTCCACTAGGGTGGTCCTCCAGTTGACCGGGCATGGGCTGCATGGTAGCTCTTTTCCAGGATTCTATAGCCTGGGGTAAGAAGTTGTGCCAAGCTCTCTCTCTGCTATATCCCGAAGTTTGACACCTTGTGGGTCAGCCCCCAAGGGCCATCCAGCTTCCATCTCCCAACACTAAGTTTACTTCGTGTCTCTCATGACAGGGAGGAAACTTAGTGTTCCTTGGAGACCTGAAGGGATGCAGTGAGCTTAAGAACTTTTGGCCAGGCGCGGTGGCTCATGCCTGTAATCCCAGCACTTTGGGAGGCCGAGGCAGGCGGATCACAAGGTCAGGAAATCGAGACCATCCTGGCTAACACGATGAAACCCCATCTCTACTAAAAATACAAAAAAAAAAAAAAAAATTAGCCAGGCGTGGCGTCATGCGCCTGTAGTCTCAGCTACTTGGGAGGCTGAGGCAGGAGGATGGCGTGAACCCAGGAGGTGGAGCTTGCAGTGAGCCGAGATCGTGCCACTGCACTCCAGCCTGGGCGACAGAGCGAGACTCTCTCTCGAAAAAAAAGAAAAAGAACTTTCAAAAGCTTACCAATCAGCCAGCCCTTGTTCATCCCCTAGCAGAAGTGTGGTGGTATTGTGGTGGACCTTTACTGGACACTCTGCCGAATAACTGGATTGGCACTTGTGCTTTAGTCCAACTAGCTATCCCTTTCACCCTGGCATTTCATCAACCAGAGGAAGGAAAAATAAGACATCGTAAAGTGAGAGAAGCCCCTTATGGGTCTTTAGACTCTCACTTCTGTTTAGACGCAATTGGGGTCCCATGGAGAATACAAGATCAATTTAAAGTCTGGAATCAAATAGCTGCAGGATTTGAGTCAATATCTTGGTGGGTGACAATTAATAAACATGTAGATTGGATAAACTACATCTATTACAACCAACAGTGATTTAGTAACTACACTAGAGATACTGTTAGAGGAATAGCTGAGCAAGTAGGGGCTACAGGCCAGATGGCTTGGGAAAATAGGACAGCCTTAGACATGATATTAGCAGAAAGAGGAGGGGTTTGCATCGTGACTAAAACTCAATGTTACACCTTCATCCCAAACAACATTGCCCCTAATGGAAGTATAACAAAGGCATTGCAAGGTCTCACTGCTCTATCCAGTGAGTTAGCCAGCAGCTCAGGGGTAAATGATCCCTTTACAGGATGGCTAGAAAAATGGTTCGGTAAATGGAAAGGAATAATAGCCTCAATTCTTACCTCCCTCGTAGCTGTAATAGGTGTACTTATTCTTGTCGGGTGCTGTGTCATACCATGCATCCGTGGGTTGGTGCAGAGGCTCGTAGAAACGGCACTTGCTAAAACCTCCCTTAACTATCCTCCACCTTATCCAGAGAAGCTTCTTCTTTTGGAAAATCAAGCAGAACAACTAAGTCAAGACATGTTAAATAAGTTTGAAGAGAAAGCCGTAAGAAAAATGCAAGAGGAGGAAGTTGTTAAATATGAATTCTAAATTTCTCTTCAAAGAATTAGTATGTCTGTATGTTCAATTCTTTGCCTTCTACTTTTAAACTTAATTTCCTCATAAAGCAACCTTTTTCGATTACCTGCTCCACCCTGACTCACTCCGATTACCTGCTCCACCCTGACTCACTCCGATTACCTGCTCCACCCTGACTCACTCCGATTACCTGCTCCACCCTGACTCATTCCGATTACCTGCTCCACCCTGACTCATTATTCTCTGCCCTGCATAACCATTATTTTCCCGCCAAAGCACTCACCCCATCACTCTCTTTAAATTAGCCAATCGGAATTAGTTTAGCCTGTGTGGTCTAACCCTAGCCAATAGGGGAATGACATAGCAGCAGGGGCCACATCCTTCAGGGATAAGAACCCCTTTCCTTCCCTTGTCCAGATGTGTGCTCACCATTGCTCCATCTGTGAGGTTGCACCCTTTTATAGAAGTACCTTGCCTTGCTGAGAATTGAACAGAAAATTTTATATTCGAGTGCTATTTATTTTGAGGCACAGAAACTTTATATATAACAATATAAACCCGAGACCTTGGCGGGCACACACACAAGCAGCTGAATGTCAAGAGGAGTGGAGGAACGGAGTGGCAGAGAATGGCAGAGAGCGCTGGAGAGTGGCAGAGCAGCATGGCAGAGAGGGAGGGAAGAGGCGTCTGAACTTTGGAAGACACCTCCACTCCTCAATAAAGTCTCCGCATGTATCACTTTTCAAACAGTTCATGTGACCTGATTAATCCAGGATGCCAGACAAGAATCTGGGGAAGTTAACATTCAGGCATCCCTGGATGGCAAGGCTAAAGGAGCACACTGTAACATATGCCCACTTGGGCTCCAGCACCTGTCCATCTGTGTGTTCCCCCTTCCCTCAGGGGTTTGAGCAGTGGGGTGACCAAACAGACGAGCCACACCCCCTGTTGCATGTCCTGCAAGGAGAATCAGGGAACTCTCCTGTTTCAGTTGGAAGAGCAAGTGTCCCTCTCTCTCTCGTGGTGGGGAGACATCTCTTCCTTCTGGGCTGTCACAGCCCCAACCTCACCAACCTACCTGACAAGGGAGTCTGGCAGAACAAGGGCAAGGGCAGGGAGAAGCACCTCTAACTCTATTCCTGGATAATAATCAAGTCTCTAAAAGTCATCCTGGAGCCGGGCACAGTGGCTCATGCCTGTAATCCCAGCACTTTGGGAGGCTGAGGCGGGTGGATCACCTGATGTCAGGAGTTCGAGACCAGCCTGGCCAACATGGTGAAAACCTAACTCTACTAAAATACAAAAAAAATTAGCTAGGCATGGTGGCAGGTGCCTGTAATCCCACCTACTTGGGTGGCTGAGGCAGGAGAATCACTTGAACCTGGGAGGCGGAGGTCGCAATGAGCTGAGACTGTGCCACTATGCTCCAGCCTGGGTGACAGAGAGAGACTCTGCCTCAAATAAATAAATAAATAAATAAATAAATAAATAAATAAATAAATAAATAAAGTCATCCTCTAGGGCTTTGAGGCCGTTCAAGCCCCTATTTTTTCCATCTCTGTGGATGAGCCTCTGTTAAATCTGATTGTGGCTGAACAAGAGATAATGTTCCTAATAGATACAGGGACCAGTTATTCAGCTTTAAGTGTTTATTACAGCCCAATGTGCTAGTCCTCCATTTCATTACGGGTATTGATAAACTTCAGTGAGGCTGTTTCACACTGCCACTCCCTTATAAAATGAAAGGCTATTCCTTTACCCACTCTTCAGTCCTGCCAAGCTGCCCTGTTTCTTTATTAGGTCACAATTTGCTCACAAAATTACAAGCGAATTTACAGTTAAGACCTCACATTCTAGCTGTAATTAACTCACACTTCACCAAAAAAGTTGCTGCAGTCTATAGAACATCACATTTTAAAACAAGTGCCGGCCAGGCGCAGTGGCTCACGCCTGTAATCCCAGCACTTTGGGAGGCCAAGGCGGGTGGATCACTTGAGGTCAGGAGTTTGAGACCAGCCTGGTCAATATGGCGAAACCCCATCCCTACTAAAAATACAAAAATTAGCTGGGCATGGTGGCACACACCTGTAATCCCAGCTACTCAGGAGGCTGAGGCAGGGGAATCACTTGAACCTCGGAGGTGGAGATTGCAGTGAGCCAAGATAGTGCCATTGCACTCCAGCCCTGGCAACAAGAGTGAAACGCTGTCTCAAAAAAAAAAAAATTGTTCTTTTGTTTGCTTTTCTTTCACCCTGATTCCTCCTTCCCCCTTTGCCGTCTTCAGTACCAAGCTACAAAGCTAGGGGTGGCTGAGGACAGTAAACAGAGTGTGGTCTTAGCTGGCTTTTTCCCTCCTGGGAAGTTGTTGTTTAGGATCCTAATTCTAGTTCAGAGGTGCATTCTAAATAGTCTTCTCCATTGCCTTTCCCCCCAAAATTAATCTCACACGTTGGCTTGTGTGTGCATTCACGTGAGGAACTGAACTGTCATTTTCATAGATAAATAAGAGACTGAGTTTCCTTAGCTCCAAAGAGAAAGGGCATTTTGCTCCTCCCAGCAGAAAGGTACCCGAGTGACTGGGGGGCCTTGCGGGAGTGTTGGGGGGTTGAGCCCCCAGCGACATGAAGTGATTCTGCAGGGAACTCACAACAAAATTAGTTTTAAAAAGGCTCGTCCAGGAAGCACATATAGGAACTGGTCACTCTGAGTTTTGAGCCCTCTTGGAGGTGCTAGACCTCCGGAGAAAACACTGAGACACCTAAGAGGGTGGTGGCAAGGATTCAGTGGTGACACACTGTGGAGTCTCATCTGCAACCATTACACTTCGACCTACTCCACAAAAACCCTAGGCCACAGCTCAGTTACTCCTTAAAAGAAAGTGGGAAACAAATAATCTAAGAATAAGGAAAAACAAGGTGTTGACGAAAAGAGTTAAACTGTGTAAAATAGTTGAAGATATTTATTCAGAGCCCAATATGAGTGACTATGGCCCGTGACATAGCCCTTAGGAGGTCCTGAGAACACGTGCCTAAGGTGGTCGGGGCTCAGCTTGGTTTTGTATATTTTAGGAAGGCATGAGACATCAATCAAATACATTTAAGAAACACATTGGTTTGATTCAGAAAGGCGGGACAATTCAAAGCAGGGGTCAGGGTGAGGGTGGCTTCCAGGCTATAGGCTATAGGTAAATCGGTAAATTTAAACTTTTTGTTTTGTTTTGTTTTTTTGTTTTGAGACAGAGACTCACTCTTCCACCCAGGCTGGAGTGAAGTGGCACAATCTCAACTCACTGCAACCTCCGCCCCCATGGGTTTCAAGTAATTCTCCTGCCTCAGCCTCCTGAGTAGCTGGGATTACAGGCACCCACCACCACGCCTGGCTAATTTTTGTATTTTTAGTAGAGGCAGGGTTTCCCCATGTTGGCCAGAGTGATCTTGAACTCCTGACTTCAGGTGATCCACCGGCCTCGGCCTCCCAAAGTGCTAGGATTATGGGTGTGAGCCACCTTGCCTGGTCTAAATTTAAACATTTTCTGATTGACAATTGGTTGAGTTTGTCTAAAGACCCGGGATCAATAGAAAGTAAATGTTTAGGTTAAGATAAAAGACTGTGGAGTCCAAGGTTCTTTTGAGGTCTTATATTGGCTGCCCTTAGAGACAATAGGTGACAAATGTTTCTTATTCAGACCTTTGAAAATGTGCTAGACTATTAGTTAATCTCTTCAGGATTGGGAGGGCCTAAAATAAAAAGATCTAGCTATGCTAATAGAGATTCTTTACAGTTGCAAATTTTCCCCCACAAAGTACAGTTTGGCAGGACCATTTCAAAATATGGCAAAGAAACATGTTTTGGGGTAAAACAATTGACTTTCTTCTTGGTCATGTAATGTTATGCCAGAGTCAGATTGGAAAGTAGTCATCATATATAATGTTAAATAAAATCCATCTGATGAGAATTTATGATTTGTAGGGCATGACTCCCCAGACCCCTTAGATAGGAATTTAGGCAAGATAGAAAAAATCAGAGCTTAGTCTTCTCACAAGAGAATGACCCTCTTTTAGGTACCCCATTGATTTTACGGCATCTCTACTTTGCAAGTGTTTGTGTAAATGGACATATTATGGTCTCTTTGTGCACAATTATGTCAAAGACAATTTAGAGCTTGAAGGTTGACCTCCAGCTGTAAAGTTCCTAAGTTCTCTATCTCTCTGCTTTCTTTTCTGCCTGTTTTAAGTCTGCTATTATTTTTCTTTCTTTTTTTGAGACAGAGTCTTGCTCTGTGCCCAGGTTGGAGTGCAGTGGTGCAATCTCAGCTCACTACAACCTCTGCCTCCCAGGTTCAAGCAGTCCTCCCACCTCAGCCTCCTGAATAGCTGGGACTACAGGCATGTGCCACCACTCTTGGCTAATTTTTTTTTTTTTTTGAGACAGAGTCTTGCTCTGTTGCCCAGGCTGGAGTGCAATGGCATGATCTCAGCAAACCAACGAGTTTCTATTAATATCTCATGGCTAGAGTTCTGAGATAATAGCTATAGGATCTTTGGTTGTATGAGTATGTATGTGTGTGTTTATGCATACATACACTTATTTCATTGTGTTTTCTAGCCACAGGTACTGAATTGGCTTAAAGTTAAAGAATATTCATAAATTAATAAGCCTAAATGCTTTTCAAGTTCATGTGACTTAAGTAAAATCTTTAATAAGCTAGCTTTAAAATTATTGGTAAAGTAATATTAGAAATGTCTTAAAAATTGTTAGCATAAATTTTTGTTTGCATTTATTGATCAAGGGACTTCATATACTGCCAAATACTGTAAGGTGTCAAAATTTGGCATAGGGTTTGTAAAACTACAAAACCGTTCAAAACAGAATGATTTTTGCTTTTGTAATTTTTGATAAATAAGACATTGATATTGGTTTAATGAAAACAGCTAAATCATGAATTATTTAGTGAAATAACAATATATTTAATCTTAAGGTTTTTACTTAGCAAACACCTGAAATTCACAGGCTATCAAATGTTTGACAGGGAAATAACTTTAAATGATGACTATCACAGTTTTCATAACTAACCTGGGTAAACTATTAAAATAAAATATTTAGGTAAATGTAATGGGATAAATACTTGTAGACAAAGTTGTCATAATTTAGGATCTAAAGTTATGTTAAATTAAACAATAGATATTTCATTAACTGGGTTTTTTTAATTAAAAAAGATATTGCAGGAAATCATTTTTTTTCTAAAAAATGTGTTCTTGTTAAAAGGAGGATAATTTTTGTCTAATTCAAAGCTTATTTAAAGGTTATATATAAAATAAGGTAAAAAGAAACAAGAAAATATATAAAGAAGTTATAGAAATAAAAAAGAATTTTTGGTAAGAAAGCTTAAAGAAAAATAATTTTACATGAGAAAGAACCTTGTATGGTACATTTTTGTCCTAGAATAAAATGACTGGTTGTTTAAGAAAGAGGAATGTTCATACAAACCAGAAAGTCCAAGCATGTCGTGAATGGTCTGTTTAAGTTATAATAAGAGCATTTATGGAAAAAGACCCACAAACTTTCATATAATCAAGTTGTCTATAATTAAAGGGAAATTATTTATAATGATCTTTTGAGAGATTGGGTTTTGATATTAAAAAACATTTATACACTAAAGAATTCATTAGAACAACATTTTCTTAAGGTATTGATTTACTTTTAATAAATTACAAGACTATATATATAATATATTTTTTCCTGCAAAGTTCAACTTTTATTGCATCTCACTGTTTTCAGCTTTCTCTCCCCTTTTAAAGTACCTGAAATAATAACTCTATCTTTCAACTCATTTTTAGCTCCTGTAAGTTTTTTTATTTTCTCCTTTGTGTTCTAACTGTTGTGGCCTGACGCTAATAAATGTTTTATCTTTGTGGTCTAAAGGAAACATTCCTTCCAACATAATATTTCCTGTAGGGAACAGCGGTTGAAATGCAGAAGGTGTTTTGTTTTCCCTTTGGGAAATTGGCCTAATAAACAGAGTTTATGCTTTATTGAAATAATTCCTATGTCATTATTACTAAGTTTTGGTTTGTTTAGAAAAAAACCCGAGATTAAATTTTTTTTAATTAAGATTATTACATACATGTAACCCTCTGTATGTGCTTTTAAAGTCCTTGTGCCATTAAGTTACAGAGCTTTGAGTCCTTGGTCTAAAAAGAACACCAAGTCCTGCTAAATATTAAACACTGACAGCAGTTAAAACCTCATTTTCTGACCTGGTAGAAGATGCCAATCAAAATAAACTGTGTTCATGAGACAGAAGGCCGGAAATTAAAACGATTCAACTCCTCAAGGTCTGGAGACTATCAAAGAAGAGGTGGGTGCATGAGATTGTAAGGGCCGATTTTGAGAGATCAAATGATTATAAGGCCAATTTTGAGAGATAAAATAATTGAGTTTCTCTATAAATTAACCATTAATCTCAAAGGCACACTGATGCAAGACTAGCATATGGGCTGCTGTGTCACGTTAACAAGGTTTTCTTGGAGAATTAACCCACTCCTTAATAAAAGGTTATAAAAGAGGTTATAAAGGTTATAAAAAAGGCTTGTGGAATTTTTATCTTGTGGTCAGGATGATTAAAATTTTATAGATTGTTTATACATTTTGAAAAACAAATTTAATTGGCCTCGTTTTTATTAGGGCTTATTGTTTAGGCAATTAAGTCTTCTCTCTCAAAGAATCAAGGTTTTTGCCTTTTTTTTGAAATCTTTGAGTTATCAAGTTGAGTAAATGAAAGACTTATTTTACAATGACTTGATCTGTGATCCTATTTTGTGATATCAAGCATTTTATTTATTTATTTATTTATTTTTGAGATGGAGTCTTACTCTGTTGCCCAGGCTGGAGTGCAGTGCTATGATCTTGGCTCACTGCAACCTCCACCTCCTGGGTTCAAGCGATTCTCCTGCCTCAGCCTCCCGAGTAGCTGAGATTACAGGTGCCTGCCACCACACCCGGCTAATTTTTGTATTTTTCATAGAGACAGCATTTACCATGTTGGCCAGGCTGGTCTAGAACTCCTGACCTCAGGCGATCCACCCACCTTGGCCTCCCAAAGTTTTGGGATTACAGGTATGAACCACTGTGCCCAGCCAAATCAAGCATTTTAAACTTTTTATTTTTATTTTTAAAATTTTAATATTTTGAGATGGAGTCTCTCTCTGTCACTCAGGCTGGAGTGCAGTGGTGCAATCTTGGCTCACTGCAACCTCTGCCTCCCAGGTTCAAGCAATTCTCATGCCTCAGCCTCATGAATAGCTGGGATTACAGGCACTTGCCACCACACCCAGCTAATTTTTCTATTTTTAGTAGTGACAGGGTTTCACCATGTTGGCCAGGCTGGTCTTGAACTCCTAACCTCAGGTGATCCACTTGCCTTGGCCTCCCAAAGTGCTGAGATTACAGGTGTGAAAGGTGTTTAAAGGCCACTGTGCCTGGCCTTTAAACTTTTTATATTTGACAAACTTTCCAAAGTCAAATTCTAACTTGGTTCCTCAATGATTTTTTGATATTAGTCCCCTGAAGTCCAAAAGAGACACAGTCAGCTTATTTGGCATAAAAATCATACAGGAAGCATTGTCAAATATGTAATAGTGTTTGGCTTTCTTTGGGCTGTATTTGTATAAATATGTTATTGGCATATGTTCCAAAATTATGGGAAAATCCTATAATTATGAATGACTTAGTATATGTTATTAATCATTATCATTATTATGTAAAATTATTGTATGCTACAGAAGTAACCAAGTTTCTTTGTCAATTGTGTCTTTAAGTATGACTTTTCTAAAACTTTTGTCATCCACAGTTGTTTTACTTTTATCCTTTTCAAAAGGATGATTTTACAATCAGCATAGGACTCTGACAGTTGCTGTTGAATACAGGTTTTGGAGATAGTGACACTAAAATAGAGAAAAAAAATCCAACACTCCCATAGAGAGCTGAAATATACATGAATAGCAAGCAGAAGAGGAGTTAACTGCATGGACTGAACTAATAGAAGACTGAAATAATCCTTCTATGACTTTTTGCTTAAAACATTGCTAATCCTTTCTTTGTTTTTCAGAGCCAAGAAAACATTTATTTTGAGCTTTTAAAAAATTTATTATTATTATTATTATTAACAAATAAATAATCTTCTTTCTTTTTTTCTTTTATCTTTCTCTGCAGGGCAAGTTCTGTATTTATAGCTTTTAACAATTGAGGAAATTATACTCCTATAAACAAAATTTGGAGCATATTTCTCTCTATCTGGTTTCTCTAAAATTTGGAAACTAGTTGGGAGTATTCTTAACTTATAGCAATATAGTTATCTGCACAAGTACAATAAGAATCTGTTTTCTTTTGTAAGAGGACATAATTGGGGACAGTGGTGATTTTACCAAGGTTTTGACTGGAACAACATGCTATCAGATGCAGACTCCTTTAAGGAATCAAAGTTGACTTACAGAGCTAATAAAAGCATCTTGGGAAAGCTGGCCTCCTATCTTGTCTACACAGTCCCTGTACAGGTTCCTGACCTGTGGTAAGTAAAGAGTGTCACTTTCTAACAGGCCCAGGAGCCCAAAGTCTTCCTGAGGTGAGGAATTCATCCAATTAATACAGGTATTTGCAGGCACAGGCCGGGCTTAAGACATTAAAGTCGAATGTGAGATTACTTATGGAATAAAGTTCCAGCAAAGCCAATTAAAAAAAAAACAAGGAGCCTATATGGCAAATAATTATTCTTGATGATTTTATGCAAATACTCCAGCCAAATATAATAAGACAGAAACTTATTTTGCAAATGAATTTTGTTCTATAATTTGTCCTCAGTGAAAGGGGACTGGAGAGAGAAAAAATTATGTTTCAAAATCACCTATAGTACACCTGTTGTTAGATTTTAGTCTCACTTAGTGTTTTTAAATTTTTATTATTTTCTATAGTTTGGACTAAACTCTAAAATTTTTCCTGGTCACAAGTCCCCAAAATAATTTTTTTCATTTTTTTTCTTTTTTCCTTTCCTTTTCCCCCCACATTTTTTCCTGATTAGAAATCACCAAACATTAAACTGTGCTTTCCTAAAGCCCTGTGAACTAAAGCTAGACAATCTATTTACATACATAAGCTACTTTCATACCTGCCTACTGGTGTATGAACTTCAGAGTAATATGGCCTATATTGATTTCCCAGGATTATTGTTGTTGTTGTTGTTTTTCTCCTTTCCTCCCCCATTTTCTCTTAGGACGTGAGACTTCACAACCTGCTAAAGCGAGCTTTCCTAATAATGTGGAACCTACCTGTCTATGAATAAACTGTCCTAGTCATGAGAGATCAGACAAAACCTGAGACCAGAGGCTAATTTTCTTCTAAAATGCTTTTAAAAAGAAAAGGGGGGAAATGTGAAAGGAAAATAAACTTGGGACCCTCAAATCACTAAGCCAAAACGAAAAGTCAAGCTGGGAACGGCATCGGGCAAACCTGCCTCCCATTCTAATGGGATAGCTAAATAAGATAGCTACAAAGATTTTAAAAAGCTACATACCTCCCTCACAATTTTCCCACAAGGAAATTCCTTGTGTACCTAGAACAGACAGAACTCAAAGTCATCCCTCTGCTCATGGGAGACAAATGCACATCTGATGGCTTCCTTTGCCCTATTGCTTCGCTAAGCCAGACTAAGGCATAAGTGACTATTCCTGCAAGTTGCATATTCAGTGGAGGGCTAATCAGAAACTCAAAAGAATGTAACAATTTGTCCTTTATCTACCTATGACCTGGAAAACCCCTCCCCACTTCAGGTTGTCTCACCTTTCTGGATGGAATTGATGTACATCTTACGTATTTGCTGACTGATGTCTCATGTCTCCCTAAAATGTATAAAACCTAGCTGTGCCCCAACTACCTTGGGCACATGTTATCAGGACCTCCTATGGCTGTGTCACTGGTGTGTCCTTGACCTTGGTAGAATAAATTTTCTAAATTGATTGAGACTTGTCTCAGATAACTCTTGATTTGCAGTAAGTAGCATTTCTAAACATCTCTGGAATGCATGCATATTGAAACTCATTATGCAACCCTTGCTGACATCAAGGCAGGAAAATGTCTACAAATGTAATCATTTAGCGTGACCTATGTGGCTAATGTGGACCAAATTATCCTTAAGCTCCTGCTTTAAGGTGCATAAATGCCCCTGAGGAAAAATCCACCTTGGCACTCTCCATCCTATCTTGCTGAGATTCTTGCCTGCACTCTTCTACAGAGTTCTTTCTTTCTAATAAAACTTTCCTTTTTTCAAACCAATACTATTATCCATAAATTCTTCTTCTTTTTTTGTTTTTTTGAAACGGAATCTCACTTTGTTGCCCAGGCTGGAGTGCAGTAGCATGATCTTGGCTCACTGCAACCTCCACCTCCTGGGCTCAAGTGAGTCTCCTGCCTCAGCCTCCAGAGTAGCTGGGATTACAGACGTCCACCACCACGTCCAGCTAATTTTTGTATTTTTAGTAGAGATGAGGTTTCACCATGTTGGCCAGGCTGGTTTTGAACTCCTGACCTCAAATGATCCACCTGCCTTGGCCTCCCAAAGTGCTGGGATTATAGGTATGAGCCACCATGCCCAGCAGTAAATTCTCCTTACTAATCCACGAGTGGACCACTTTCCAATGCTGAGGCTCTGACACCTCGCTGGGCAGCCACTTTTGATTATTTTGGGTTGTCAGGGCTCAGGGACACAAGAACTTGCTCCTTAGGGGAGCTGGAGGTCTAGTAGGGATTGCTTGTTCTCCATCAGGCCCCTAGTAGGGAGGCCTCTCCTGTCCCCAATCCCTGACTCCCAGGGATGCTCCCCTCCAAACCACAGCAGGAAGTTCCTCCTTAGGTCAGACCCACAGCCCTGATGCTGTGGTCTCACTGCAGGTCATAGTCTCACAGGGGCCTCTTATATTATTTTAATTTTAATTTTAATTAAATTAAATTAATTTTTTTTTTTTAGATGGAGTCTCGCTCTTATCGCCCAGGCTGGAGTGCGGTGGTGTGATCTTGGCTCACTGCAACTTCTGCCTCCCAGGTTCAAGTGATTCTCCTGCCTCAGCCACCTGAGTAGCTGGGATTACAGGCATCCGCCACCATGCCTGGCTAATTTTTGTATTTTTAGTAGAGACAGGGTTTTGCCATGTTGACCAGGCTGGTCTCGAAATCCTGGCCTCAAGTGTTCTGCCTGCCTCAGCCTCCCAAAGTGCTGGGATTACAGGTGTGAGCCACCGTGCCTGGTCTTATATTATTTTAATTTTAAATTTAAGAATACATTCTTAATATCAACCTTCAAAGACTCCCTGTTGCTTACCAAGTTAAGAAAACTACTTAAACCTCACATATAATTCCTTTCTCAACTGGGACCAATAAACCGTGACAGCTTTATTGAAGGGGGCCAGCCCCTTCACACCTGTGGGTATTTCTCGTCAGGTGGGATGAGAGACTGAGAAAAGAAATAGACACAGGGACAAAGTACAGAGAAAGAACAGTGGGCCCAGGGCACTGGCGCTCAGCATACGAAGGACCCGCACCGGCGCCAGCCTCTGAGTTCCCTCAGTATTTATTGATCATGATCTTTACTATCTTAGCAAGGGGAGTGTAGCAGGGCAACAGGTGGGGAGAAGGTCAGCAGGGAAACATGTGAGCAAAGGAATCTGTATCATGAGTAAGTTCAAGGAAAGATACTGTGCCCGGATGTGCACGAAGGCTAGATTTATGTTTCTCTTTACCCAAGTATCTCAGTGTAGCAAAGAGCAACAGAGCAGTATTGCTGCCAGCATATCTCGCCTCCAGCCACAGGGCGGTTTTCTCCTATCTCAGAATAGAATGAATGGGAATGGTCGGCTTTACACAGAGACATTCCATTCCCAGGGATGAGCAGAGAAGCCTTCCTCTTATCTCAACTGCAAAGAGGCCTCCCTCTTTCACTCCTCCTCCTCAGCACAGACCCTTTATGGGTGTCGGGCTGGGGGATGGTAAGGTCTTTCCTTTCCCATGAGGCCATATCTCAGGCTGTCTCAGTTGGGGGAAACGTTGGACAATACCCAGGCTTTCTTGGGCAGAGGTCCCTGTGGCTTTCCACAGTGCATTGTGTCCTTGGTTAACAGAGAATGGAGAATGGCGATGACTTTTACCAAGCATACTGCCTGCAAACATATTAACAAGGCACATCCTGCACAGTCCTAAATCCATTAAACTTTGATCCAATACAGCACATGTTTCTGTGAGCACAGGGTTGGGGATAAAGTTACAAGTTAACAGCATCTCAAAGCAGAAACAATTTTTCTTAATACAGATCAAAATGGAGTTTCTTATGTTTCCTTTTCTACATAGACACAGTAACAATCTGATTTCTCTTTCTTTTCCCCACACTTTCTCACGTGTTCTTTCTTTCTTTCTTTCTTTTCTTTTTTGAGATGGAGTCTCGCTTTGTTGCCCAGGCTGGAGTGCAGTGGCGTAATCTCAGCTCACTGCAAACTCTGCCTCCCAGGTTCAAGTGATTCTCGTGCCTCAGCCTCCCGAGCAGCTGGGATTACAGGCATGCACCATGACGCCCAGCTAATTTTTGTATTTTCAGTAGAGACGGGTTTCACCATCTTGGCCAGGCTGGTCTCGAACTCCTGACCTCAAGTGATCCACCTACCTCAGCCTCCCAAATTACTGGGATCATATGAATGAGCCACCATGCCTGGCCCATGTTTTTCTTGTACTTTAGGCTTTGCTACTTACAACCAGAACTGCTTACCATTCTGTCAGAAGCCTTCCAACCAGGGCAACTCCATCTTGAATAGGGGCTGGGTAAAATAAGGCTGAGACCCACTGAACTGCTTTCCCAGAAGGTCAGACATTCTTAGTCACAGGATGGGATAGGAGTTTGGCAGGACTGGTATCACAAGTACAGGTCACAAAGACCCTGCTGATAAAACAGGATGCAGTAAAAGAAGCCGGCCAAAATCCACCAAAACTACGATGGGGATGAAAGTGACCTCGATTCGTCCTCACTGCTCATTATATAGGAATTATAATGCATTCGCATGCTAAAAGACACTCCCACCAGCACCATGAGAATTTACCAATGCCATGGCAACGTCAGGAAGTTACCCTACATGGTCTAAAAAGGGGACGAACCCTCAGTTCTGGGAATTGCCCATCCCTTTCCTGGTAAAACAATGAATAATCCACCCCTTGTTTAGCATACGATCAAGGAGTAACTATAAGTATGTTCAGCTGAGCAGCCCATGCCACTGCCCTGCCTATGGAGTAGCCATTATTTTATTCCTTTACTTTCTTAAATAAACTTGCTTTCACTTTACTCTATGGATTCACCCCAAATTCCTTCTTGTGTGAGGTCCAGAAACCCTGTCTTGGGGTCTGGTTTGGTACCCCTTTCTGGTAATAATTCTGTAAGTATTTGTAGTACGTCTGAGCCACCAAAATTTCCATACTGATCCTTCCATTAGAATATCCTTTCTGCCTGTCTCTTTCTGGCAGGATCTGATCCATATTTCAAAGCCAGTCTCAAATGCCACCTTTTCCAAAGAAACCTATCCTTATATCTTTATCTAATACAAACAGTATATATTGGGAGCCTAAGAAATGCTTGTTGCATACATCAATGAATGAACCCCAAACCAATGTATTTCTCCCTTCCTTGTAATCTCCAGAAATGTTTATAAACTTTGTTGTTGTTTATTTGTTTGTTTTATTTTTATTTTTATTTTGAGATGGAGTTTTGTTCTTGTCACCCAGGCGGGAGTGTAATGGCGCGATCTCGGCTCACCACAACCTCTGCCTCCTGGGTTCAAGTGATTCTCCTGTCTCAGCCTCCCGAGTAGCTGGGATTACAGGTGTGCACTACCATGCCCAGCTAATTTTTGTGGTTTTAGTAGAAATGGGGTTTCACCATGTTGGTCAGGCTGGTCTCAAACTCCTGACCTCAGGTGATCCACCCGCCTTGGCCTCCCAAAGTGCTGGGATTACAGGCGTGAGCCACCGTGCCCGGCCTGTTGCTA
This sequence comes from Homo sapiens, assembly GCF_000001405.40. Classification (NCBI taxonomy): domain Eukaryota; kingdom Metazoa; phylum Chordata; class Mammalia; order Primates; family Hominidae; genus Homo; species Homo sapiens. Next base: position 814,462 of record NC_000020.11, read on the forward strand.
TTTATTTAATATACTTTATTTTTTTGAGCGATTATAAGTTTATTTTTATTTATTTATTTATTTATTTATTTATTTTTGAGACAGGGTCTCATTGTCACCTCTTGCCCAGGCTGGAGTGCAGTGGCACGATGTTAGCTCACTGCAACCTCTGCCTCCCAGAGTCAAGTGATCCTGCCACCTCAGCCTCCTGAGTAGTTGGGACCACAGATGTGCACCACCACGCTGGGCTACTATTTTTATATTTTTAGTGCAGATGGGGTTTTGCCATGTTGCTCAGGCTGATCCTGAACTCCTGAGCTCAAGCAATCTGCCTGCCTTGGCCTCCCAAAGTTCTGGAATTACATGCGTGAGCTACTGAGCCCGGCCTTAGGTTTACAGAACAGCATTCCACCCATGTTATTTATGCAGGGGAGCACACCACACACATCACTTTGCAGCTTCCTTTCTCCTCTTATATGTCTTACAGATCTTTCTGTGTTCTGTACATTGAGACACTCATTCATTGGCTTCACTCATTCATTTGAATTCATTCCTTTGTTCAACAGATATTTATCGTCAGCTCTATGTCAGGCACTATGAGAAGTGCTTGGGATATAAAACTGAACAAAATAAACAAAGTCCTTTCCATTGGAGAGATGACATTCTAGTGTAAGGAGATAGACAATAGATAATAAATACAACAAATAAATAAATACATGGTTTAGTATGTTATAAGATGCTTTCTGTAGGAAAAAAGTGAGAGGGACCTGGAGTGGAGGGAGGACCGAGTGGGGACAGGTGCAGGGTGGGGGCAGCCAGTAGAGCCCCTCTGAGGAGGAGTGGATCACAGGAGGATGACTGGCAAGACCTAAAGGTGGCAAGCTGTCTCTGGTGCTGGCTCTGAGAGCAGGATAGCTGGAGTAGAGTGAGGGAAAGGCGAGGTCAGAGGTGAACCTGCAGGGCAGGTGGGGCTCCTTCCGCTAGCGCATGGTGTTCCATTATCCAGATGCACCAGGACAAATGTCGCCCACTGCCATTACTAGGTGCTTACCATGTGCCATCAAGAACAATACCGCAGGCCGGGTGCGGTGGCTCACGCCTGTAATCCCAGCATTTTGGGAGGCCAAGATGGGTGGATCACTTGAGGTCAGGAGTTCGAGACCAGCCTGGCTAACATGGTGAAACCTGGTCTCGACTAGAAATCTAAAATTAGCCTAGCGTGGAGGCGCACTCCTGTAAACCCAGCTACTTGGGAGGCTGAGGCAGGAGAATCTATTGAACCCAGGAGGCAGAGGTTGCAGTGAGCCTAGATTTCGCCATTGCACTCCAACTGGGCAAGAGCAAAAATCTGTCTCAAAAAACAAACAAAAACAATACTGCAATAAACATTCTGTCAGTCTGTCATTTTGCCCATGGACAGAATATCTGCAGAATTAATTCCCGGCAGTGAACTTGAGAGAGATCACCCAATTGCCTTCCAAAGGAGCTGTGCCTGGACCATGGGTTTCAGCACAAAGTGCTGCTCCCTCCAACTTGTAGACTCTTCTGGCAGGTCACGGTGGAGCTCACATTCTAGCGGGAGAGTGTCCAGGGCAGAGATATTCCATTCCGTGTCTTTTCTCCCAGGGCTCGCACAGAGAGGGTTCACGCGGTAGTCAGTAGGTGGGCAGTGCTTGGTGAAGGCATTGATGGGTGGAGGGATTGAAGGATGAATGAATGGATTAGGGGCTGACAGTGCCGCTGCAGTTACTCAAAGGAGCCACCAGGAGGCGCAGGGAGCCCACATTCTGGAGACAAACCTTTTAAAAAAAGCATCTGGTGACTTAACGACCTTTTCACCAATGGCTTGTGTGGGGCCTTAATGCTAGGGTGAGAAAAAGGTGGGAGATGGAAGAAAGGGGAGTGGGTAAAAGGACATGTGGGAGAAGAAGGCAGAGAGAGGGCCTTCTGAGGGGGCCTCCACGCCAGGTAAGGACCGTTTAGCTCCCCTAAGAGCCTGCAGCATTGATGCAGATCCCAGCAAAGCCAAAACCCCCTTATGCCCACAGTTGAGCCCAAAAGCCCAGAACAGAGGGGAAAAATAAATTTCAGGATAGGCCAGGTGAAGTGGCTTACGCCTGTAATCCCAAAACTTGGCGAGGTCAAGTAATCCCAAGTACTTTGGGAGGCTGACAGGGGAAACTCTATCTAAAAAAAAAAAATAAGAAAAGGAATTTCCAGGATAAATATGTACAGTATAATCCCATTTATGTGAAAAAAAAAATCTCCACAAATAAATTCCTTTGTGCGTGTGTGTGTGTGTGTGTGTGTGTGTGTTTGTGTGTGACGGAGTCTCAGTCTGTCGCCCAGGCTGAAGTGCAGTGGCACGTTCTCGGCTCACTGCAACCTCCGGCTCCCAGGTTCAAGCAATTCTCCTGCCTCAGCCTCCTGAGTATCTGGGATTACAGGCGTGTGACACCACACCCAGCTAATTTTTGTATTTGTGGTAGAGACGGGGTTTCACCATGTTGGTCAGGCTGGTCTCGAACTCCTGACCTCGTGATCTGCCCGCCTCAGCCTCCCATAAATTCTACATATTAGTTTGGGGAGTGTGTATTTACCACATACACATCTACAGGGAAAATCTGGAAAGGTAAATGTCGAATTGACAACAGTGGTTACTTTTGTTATTGTGTGTGTAGAGAGGGGCAGGGGACAAAAAGGAAAATGAGGAGTGATCAAAGGGGACTTTAATTTTCTTTTTTTTTTTTGAGACAGAGTCTCAGCTCACTGCAACCTCTGTCTCCCAGGTTCAAGTGATTCTCCTGCCTCAGCCTCCCAGGTAGCTGGGATTACAGGCACCCGCCACCACGCCTAGCTAATTTTTGTATTTTATTTTAGTAGAGACAGGGTTTCGGTTTCACCATGTTGGCCAGGCTGGTCTCAAACTCCTGACCTCAGGTGATCTGCCTGCTGCGGCCTCCCAAAGTGCTGGGATTACAGGCGTGAGTCACTGCACCGGGCCCCCAAAGGGGACTTTAGACTAAACTGAAACATTTTAACTTTCCAGGAATCTGTAACCCTGCTATTATATAACCACAAATTAAAAATTACTTTAAAAAATGAAAAAAAAAAAAAAAAAAAAAAGGCTGGGAGCGGTGGCTCACACCTGTAATCCCAGCACTTTGGGAGGCTGAGGCAGGAGGATCACGAGGTCAGGGGTTTGAGACCAGCCTGGCCAAAACGGTGAAACCCTGCCTCTACTAAAAAGACAAAAATTAGCAGAGTGTGGTGGCACGTGCCTGCAGTTCCAACTACTCAGGAGGCTGAGGCAGGAGAATCGCTTGAACTTGGGAGGCAGAGGTTGCAGTGAGCCTAGACTGCGCCATTGCACTCCAGCCTGGGCAACAGAGCAAGACTCCGGCTCAAAGAAAAAAAAAAAAGGAAAAGAGAAAAAAAAAGGAACAATAACAACAACAAAAATTAAATGCTATCTTGTGTTGCATCAATAGAAGTCTTACGTGCAGCTCAAGGGAGGTGACAGCCCCCTCTGCTCTGCTCAGACCACACCTGGGACCTCCTTTCCTCTTCTTGGCCCTGTCCCGTGAGAAGAATAATGACAGCCTAAGGCATGCTGGGGGTTGGAGATGGGGGGAGGCTGGGGCCATCTGCACATGATACAGATCCAGGAATAGTCCCTTTACCCAAGCGGGAGAAACTGGGCAGGTGAGCAGCTTCCAGGTGTGTGGATGGCAAATGGATGCCAGACTTTAGGATAGGAATCCAGGGGTGCAGCGGATGGAAAGTCCAGCCCAGGATGGGGCATAGTTTTCCCACCCAGCTAGGGAGGGAGGGTAGGGGCTACTCTGGGGTGTCAGGAGTGCCGAAGCCTGAGGTAGGCGCAAGCCAGGCAGCATGGCAGCATCCTTCCAGAGGGTGTTGTGCAGCTGTGGAAAACAATTGCTGGGAGGCCGGCAGGGGCAGTGGTGGAGGAGACCAGAGCTTAATTCTAGGTGAGTCACAATAGCCTCATCTGTAGAATGAGTGAGGGGTGGGGCGTAGTTTCAGATTTTTTTTTTTTTTTTGACACGTAGTTTCGCTCCTGTTGCCCAGGCTGGAGCGCAATGGCGCAATCTCGGCTCACCGCAACCTCCGCCTCCCGGGTTCAAGCGACTCTCCTGCCTCAGCCTCCTGAGTAGCTGGGATTACAGCCATGTGCCACCATGCCCGGCTAATTTTGTATTTTTAGTAGAGACGGGGTTTCTCCATGTTGGTCAGGCTGGTCTTGAACTCTTGATCCGCCCGCCTTGGCCTCCCAAAGTGCTGGGATTACAGGCGTCAGCCACCGTGCCCCACCAGTTTCTGACTGATTTTCTTTTTTTTTTTTTTTTGAGACGGAGTCCCGCTCTGTCGCCCGGGCGAAGTGCAGTGGCGCGATCTCGGCTCCCTGCAAGCTCCGCCTCCCGGGTTCACGCCATTCCCGGGCCTGGGACCACAGGCGCCGCCACCACGCCCGGCTAGTATCTTTTTTTATTTTTATTTTCAATAGAGACGGGGTTTCACCGTGTTAGCCAGGACGGTCTCGATCTCCCGACCTCGTGATCCGCCCGCCTCGGCCTCCCAAAGTGCCGGGATCACAGGCGTGAGCCACCGCGCCGGGCCCAGCTTCTGATTTTATGCAGCTGGCGGGATCTTGTTCTTGGTCCTTTAAGGCGACCGGAGGGATTGCAGTTTTAAAAACTCGCCAGCAGAGGTCGCCTTCTGACGGATTTGACCAAAAAATCCATTCCGGTGGGAAAGGGGAACCTGCGCCTGCGATTCTCTCTCTCTCCCCCTCTCTCCCTCTCTCTTTCTCTCCCCCCCTCTCTCTCTCTCCCTCCCTCCCTCTCTCCTCCTACTCCTCCCTCCCTCCCTCTCTCTGTCTCTCCCTCCCTCCCTCCCGCTCTCTCCCCCCTCCCCCTCTCCCCCTCCCTCCCTCCCTTCCTCCCTCTCTGTCTCTTTCTTTGAGACAAAGTTTCACTCTGTCACCCAGGCTGGAGTGCAGTGGCACGATCTCCACTCACTGCAACCTCTGCCTCCCGGGGTTCGTGATTCTCATGCCTCAGCCTCCCGAGTAGCTGGGATTACAGGCGCCCGCCACCACGCCCGGCTAATTTTTGTATTTTTAGTAGAGACGGGGTTTTGCCATGTTGGCCAGGCTGGTCTCAAACTCCTGACCTCAAGTGATCTGCCTGCCTCGGCCTCCCAAACTAAGATTCATTTGTTGACTAAGTGAATAAAAGGGGAGACATTGAAGAGGGGGACCCGACTGGATTTGGGGGTGAAGGTGGAGTTGAGAGTGACTTTGAGGCTTCTGCTTGAGCAATGAGTGGAGGGTGCCTCTCCTGAGCTGGGGAAACTGGGGCAGCACTGACGGAGGGGACACAGCTACAGAGGGGAGAACCCTCTCCTGCCGGGGCTGCGGGTTACAGCCTGCACTGCGATTCTCTGATCTCAGGGACCTCAGACTTCTGGGGCCCTGTCCCCTACCTCTGTGTATGACCCTAGCTGGCTGAGGGCTGAAGGCTTGCTGTTGGCTCTTTCTGCACCCTCAGCCTTCTCCTTCCTCTTCCCTCTGCAGGACTCTGTCCTGGGTCCTTAGGAAGAGTCCAGGCCCCAGGACAGGGAAGTTGGGTCAGGCCTGGACCTCACATTCCCTGCCTGTCCCATGAGGTGGACAGTGAGAGGACAAATGCCTGGACCCCTGGCCCCAAACCCAAGAGCAGATGTACCGGAGAAGAGCTTCTTAGAGCACCAGGTGCCAGGGCTGCGGTGGAGAATCAGGGGGGCCCAGGGGAAGGGGCTGCAGATGAGGGAGGAGATAGATACGGAGGGCCTGTGTGCCTCCCAGATACAGGGCTGGCTTTCCCAGCCCAGAAGGTTCTTTCTGCCTTTCCCAGTCTTCTTCCATTCTCATTTCATGTTCACACTTTTGGCCATACCCAGGGTCAGCCATGAAGATTGTTCTCAGAATGTTTTCTTTCTTCCTTCCTTTCTCTTTCTTTTCTTTCTTTCTTCCTTTCTTTCTTTCCTTTCTTTTTCTTTCTTCTCTTTCTTTTTTTCTTTTCTTCTTTCTCTCTCTTTCTTTCTCTCTCTCTCTCTCCTTCCTTCCTTCCTTCTTTTCTTTCTTTCTTCTTTCTTTTTTTGAAACAGAGTCTCACTATGTCACCCAGGCTGTAGTGCATTGGCACGATCACTGCTCACTGCAGCCTTGACCTCCTGGGCTCAAGTGATCCTCCCGCCTCAGCCTCCTGAGTAGCTGGGACCACAGGTATGCACCACCATGCCCAGCTGATTTTTTAATTTTTTGTAGAGATGGGGGTCTCACTGTGTTGCTCTGGTTGGTCTTAAACTGCTGGGCTCAAGTGATCCTCCCGCCTTGGCCTTCCAGAGTGTTGGGATTACAAGCAGGAGCAGCACACCTGGCCAATGTTTTATTTAAATCAACTCACTTAGGTTGAATTAGAATAATTTTAGACACACAGAAGAGTGTGTCTATATAATTTTGAATTATATACCCAACACTCAGATATAACATTAGCATTTTGCCATATTTGCTTCATCTATTTCTTTCTGAAATATTTTAATGTAAATTACAGATATCATGAATTTTCATCCCCAAATACTTTAGTCTGCATCAGTCAAAGATATCTAATATTTAATCCACAATGGATTTCCCCAGTGGCAATTCCCCTAAATTGTGTTTTACAGTTGACAGTGGATTTATTGTAAAAGGAAACTCGATATACCAAGTGACAAGCAAGTTATCTTCTGTTATAAATAGAAAGGATCCCTGGAAATGGACACAGTGTCAGGCCCAGAGCTGTGGGTGGAGACCTGCTCTCTGTTTGACATAAATAGGAGATCAGTGGCTACTAAATCTGAAGACAGGGCAGCAGCAAAGAACATTTTCTCACGGATGTGATGAGACTTGAAAGGGACTCAGAAAGGGGGTCACTTTCTCCAGGTTGGGGTAACTGTTATTTAAGCCAGGGTTCATCTGCAGCGTGGGGAGCCAGAGGGTGACCCCTTCCCTAGGTGATGGAGGTGGCTGAGGCTCCAGAAGTTTCCAGAGAAAGATCTGGTGTTCCTACAAGGCCAGTGGCAGGGGGAAGGGCACTAGACAGTGGGGCTGGAGGGTGTGGGCCTGTCCCTGCTCTGATTTTGGGCACTGCACTTTTGCCTGTAAGAAGGGGATATGTGAGGCCAGGACAGGGTCTCCTACTCTGTCCCCACTCCCACGCCAAACAGGGCCTTGAGGACTCTCGCGACCTCCATGACCCAGCTTCCCTCCTACCCCAGCCCCAAGCCTGTTTTTGTTCCCCTCCCTCCCTCCTGCTTGATCTTTGAGCCTCAGCCAGGATGTTACCTCCTCCTAGAAGCCTGCCTTGGTCCCTGGAATGGATTAAGGGACTCTCTCCTGGGCCCCACAGCTGCCCAGGATCACTCAGCACTGTAGTGCCCTGTTGGCCTTTGCCTCCCTCCAGCTGTGGACGTACAAAGCAGACAGCGAATCTGTCTTGCTCACCACTGTACCCCCATCCCCTACTGCAGCACCTGGCACATAGCAGTAGTGCGGCACACTTGTTGAATGAATAAGGGATCATTACTACTACGCTTCCCACTCATAAATGTCTGCCTCTTCGGGGGGCTCAGAATGCACATTTGGTCCTTCATTAACTCATTTACTCACAATTTTTTTTTTTTTTTTTTTTTTGAGACGGAGTTTCACTCTTGTCGCCCAGGCTGGAGTGCAATGGTGTGATCTCGGCTCACTGCAACCTCTGCCTCTCAGGTTCAAGCGATTCTCCTGCCTCAGCCTCCCGAGTAGCTGGGATTACAGGCGCTAGCCACCATGCCTGGCTAATTTTTGTATTTTTAGTAGAGATGGGGTTTCACCATGTTGGCCAGGCTGGTCTCGAACTCCTGACCTCTCAGGTGATTCACCCACCTCAGCCTCCCAAAGTGCTGGGATTACAGGCATGAGCCACCGTGCCTGGCTCATTTACTCACAAATATTTACTGAGCACCTACTATGTCCCAAGCAGTATTCTAGGCACTGGAAATGGGGCAAGGCTGCTGCCTCTGTGGAACTTATACTGGGGTGTGGGAGGCAAAGAAAAACAAGCAAACATACATATGAAATAATTTAAGATGCCACTCGTGGTGGGAGGGACTGACAGGAGCTGCTGTGGAAGAGAGCATTAGGAGGGCCTTGCTGAGGGGTGACTTTATTTCAGCTGAGAGGTGGATGAGAAGGCACCTGCAGGGGAAGAAGAACCAGGGGAAGGGTGTTCCTGATGGAGCAACAGCCTGTGCTAAGGCCCCAAAGTGAGCACCAGCTGGGCGCTGAGGGACAGAACCAGGCACAGGCTCGGTTAGAGGAGGTCTGAGGTCCCAGAGGAGACAAGAGAGGGGAAGGATGGGAGGGCAGGCCTGAGCCGCAGAAGGCCAGTGGAAGGTTCTGAGTGGGAAGAGGATGGGATAGGAGTTATATTCTGAAAGGTCCGCCTGTGCTGGGTGGAGGATGGGTGGGGACAGGCAGGAGCAGCCCAGGCTCTGATGCAGCCTCCAGGCAGAGATGGACCAGGGGAGCCCATTTCATATCCGGCCCCTGTGGAGGGTCTGAGGGTGTTGAGCAGACAGGCCCTGGCTTTGGAAGTCCTGGGTGTCTGGACCCGCCTGCCTGTGGGGCCCCAGCAGAGAGGAAGGGAGGCGGGGCTCCCAGTGCCTGTTGACTCATTTGCATCTGATTTGCATGTGAAGCAGAGAGTCAGGTTGAAAGCTGGGAAGGCCTGTGCCAGCCCTGGGTAGAGGGTCTTGGGTGTTAGTTCCCACAAAGACTCTGTCCCAGGCCATGACCTTCCTGTTCAGGAGGGGCTCTGCCTTCCCTTGCCTCCAACGCCCCTCTGGCCTGGCCCTGCCATCTGGGGCTGGGCAGTGCCCACGGGGACAAGGTCGTTTCCTTTTAGGAGAGGTCTGCATGCTATGAGGACAAAGGCCAAATCCCCACCCTCGGGAACCTCCTTCCCCAGCAAAATCCCATCTGTCAGGCTCAGCCTCTGACCTTCGACCTCTCTGTCAGCACAGGCTGCAGTGTTGGGGAGGGGAGGGTCCCCACCCCCAACCCTAGGGGAGACCCAAACCTCTCCCCCCAGCCTTCTCCATCTGTCCCCTTCGGCTTCTGCCACCTGCTCCGTGTGATCCAGGCCAGGTCACCTCCGCTTTCTGGGCCTTGGTTCCCCCACGTGTCCAATGTGGGTTTCCCAAATACCAGTGACTTGTGTCAGTCCACTTTTGTAATTGTAGCCAACTCCACTTACTATTTCTTAAGTGAACTTACTCTCCTTCACTTAAATAGATTTAATTTAAAAAGAAATGTTATACCAGCTCTGTAAATGGAAAACCAGTTTCATCTGCCACAAGTAGAAACATAATAGGAAAAAATAATG